>NT_187641.1:0-209512 GCF_000001405.40 Homo sapiens
ACCACTCTTGGCTCATCGCACTGATAGTGGCTCCACATCTCTCTGGGGTGGAGTTCCAAGGGACAAGTGAAAGGCCGTCTGCCACAACCGCTGCTAAGGTCCCTTCCCCTGCTGCCCCCAAGCCACGGAGGGAACATAAAGTCTGAGCTCACCCCAGAGCTGTGATGTGCAGCCTGGGAGTGCCGAGCCCAGATCTGCAGCCAGCACTTGGGTGGGAGAGGAGCCCGCACTTTCAGAGCGTGAGAGGGAGCACAGCGGCAATCATGAGGAATGACCTACTGGCCGTTGTGCTGAAGCATCATTTACCGGATTGCAGCCCAAACTTCAACACCAAAAATGCTCGCTAATATACCTCCCTGTGAAACCAAGGACAAGAATTTAGCTATAAATAAAGACCCTGTGCGAAGCCCCAGCCCTCTGAAACCATCCAGAAAAGAAGTCTACTGACTGTGCTCAAATTACATCACGGTTAAAAGAAAAAAGAAAAAAATTCAAATTGCAGCACACTCAAAGGAACATTAGCCCACATGGATGAGAAAGAACTGAGCAAGAACTCCATCAACTCAAAAAGCAACAGTGTCTTCCTTCCTCCAAATTACCACACAAGCTTCCCAGCAAGGGCTCTTTACCTGGCTGAAATGACAGAAATAGAATTCAGAATATGGATAGAAATTAAGGTCATCAAGATTCAGGAGAAAGTTGAAACCCAATGCAAGGAACCTAAAGATTACAATAAAATGACAGAGGGGCTAATCTATGAGATGGTCATTTTGAAAGAACCAAACGGATCTGATGGAGCTGAAAAACACACTACGAGATTTCATAATGCGATCACAAGTATTAATGGCAGAATAAAGCAAAATAAGGAAAGAATCTCAGAGCATGAATACTGGCTCTCTGAACTAATTCAGTCAGACAAAAATGAAGACAAAAGAATAAAAAATAATGAACAAAACCTCTAAGAAATATGGGATTATGAAAAGAGACCAAATAGCCCATTGGCATCCCCGAAAGAGATGGGGAGAAAGCAAGGAACATGGAAAACATATTTCAGTGTATTGTTCATGAAAACTTCCCCAACGTCACTAGAGAGGCCAAGAATCAAATGCAGGAAACAAAGAGAACCCCTGCAAAATACTACACAAGAAGAGCATCCCCAAGACACAAAATCATCAGATTCTTCAAGGTAGAAATGAAAGAAAGAAATGTCGGCCGGGCGCGGTGGCTCACGCCTGTAATCCCAGCACTTTGGGAGACCAAGGCGGGCGGATCACGACGTCAGGAGATTGAGACCATCCTGGCTAACATGGTGAAACCCCATCTCTACTAAAAAAATATAAAAAATTAGCTGGGCGTGGTGGTGGGCACCTGTTGTCCCAGCTACTGGGGAGGCTGAGGCAGGAGAATGGCGTGAATCCGGGAGGCGGAGCTTGCAGTGAGCCGAGATCACGCCATTGCACTCCAGCCTGGCAGCCTGGGCAACAGAGCAAGACTCAGTCTCAAAAAAAAAAAAAAAATGTGAAAAGGCAGCAAAAAAGAAGGGGCATGTCACCTACAAAGGGAATGCCATCGAGCTAACAGCAGACCTTTCAGCAGAAACTCTACAATCCAGAAGAGATTGGGGGCCTATATTTAATGTTCTTATGAAAAGAATTTCCAACCAAGAATCTCATTCCCAGCCAAACTAAGTTTCATAAGTGAAGGAGAAATAAGATCCTTTACAGACAAGCAAATGCTGAGGGAATTTATTACCATCAGGCCTGCCTTACAAGAGGTCCTAAGAGGAATGCTAAATATGGAAAGAAAAGACCATCACCAGCCAATAGAAAACACACTTACGTACATAAACCAGTGACACTATAAAACAACCACACAAACAAGTCTGCATAATAACCAAACCAGCTAACAACATGATGACAGGAAAAAATCTGCACATGTAAATGCTAACTTTGAATGTAAATGGACTAATTGTCCTAATTAAAATGCAGAGAGTGGCAAGTTGGATAAAGAAGCAAGAGGCCAGGTGCAGTGGCTCACGCCTGTAACCCCGGCACTTTGGGAGGCTGAGGTGGGTGGATCATTTGAGGTCAGGAGTTCGACATTAGCCTGGCCAATGTGATGAAATCCCATCTCTAATAAAAAAAAAAATAGCTGGGCGTGGTGGTACACACCTGTAATCCCAGCTATTTGGGAGGCTGAGGCAGGAGAATCATTTGAACCTGGGAGGCAGAAGTTGCAGTGAGTCAAGATCATGCCACTGCACTCCAGCCTGGGTGACAGAGTGAGACTCCATCTCAAAAAAAAAAAAAAAAAGCAAGACTCAACATTATGCTGCCTATAAGAAACCCATCTCATATGCAATGACATCCATAGGCTCAAAGTAAAGAAATGGAGAAAAATCTACCAAGCAAATGGAAAGCCAAAAAAAAAAAAAAAATGCAGGAGCTGCTATTAAAATTTCAGACAAAACAGACTTTATACCAACAAAGATCAAAAAAGGCAAAGAAGGGCATTAAATCATGGTAAAGGGTTCAATTCAACATGAAGACCATAGCAGGACAGTGGCCACGGAAGTCGGAATCTGCTAAGGAGTGTGTAATAGCCCAACTGCTGAATCAAAAAGAAAAAGAAAAAAAAAATTAAAAAAAGAGCATGAAGACCTAACTATCCTAAATATATATGCACCTAACATGGAAGCACCCGGATTCATAAAGCGTGTTCTGAGAGACCAACAAAGAGACTTAGACAACCACACAATAATAGGGGGAGACTTTAACATCCCGCCGACAGTATTAGATCATTGAGGCAAACAGAGATATTCAGGACCTGAACTCAGCAGTGGATCAAATGGACCTGACAGACATCTACAGAACTCTCCACCCCCAAAACAACAGAATCTACATTGTTTTCATTGCCTCATGGCACATACTCTAAAGTCAATCATACAATCAGACATACAGCAATCCTTAGCAGGCTGGGCGCGGTGGCTCACACCTGTAATCCCAGCACTTTGGGAAGCCAAGGCTGGCGGATCATGAGGTCAGGAGATCGAGACCATCCTGGCTAACGCAGTGAAACCCCGTCTTTACTAAAAATACAAAAAAAATTAGCCGGGCGTGGTGGCGGGCACCTGTAGTCCCAGCTACTCAGGAGGCTGAGGCAGGAGAATGGTGTGAACCCGGGAGGCGGAGCTTGCAGTGAGCCTAGATTGCGCCACTGCACTCCAGCCTGGGCGACAGAGCAAGACTCCATTTCAAAAAAAAAAAAAAAAAAAATCCTTAGCAAATCCAGAAAAGCGAAATCAGAGCACAGTGGAATAAAAATAGGAATAAATACTAAGAAAACCACTCAAAACTGTACAATGCATGGAAATTAAGCAGTCTGTTCTGGAATTTTTGGGTAAATATAGCAGAATCTCTGGGACACAGCTAAGGCAGTGTTAAGGGGGAAGTTTATAGCACTAAACTCCCACGTCAAAAAGCTAGAAAAAGTTCAAATTAACACCCTAACATCATAACAAGAGGAACTAAGAGAACCAAGAGGAAATCAGCCCCAAAGCTCATAGGAAACAAGAAATAACCAAAATCAGAGCTGAGCTGAAGGAGATTGAGACACAAACAAGCATTCAGAAGATCAGCAAATCGAGGAGTAGAATTTTTGAAAAAATTAGTAAGACAGATGACTAGTTAGACTAATAAAGAAGAAAAGAGAGATGATCCGGATAAACACAATTAGAAACAACAAAGGGTATATTACCACTCACCCCACAGAAGTACAATCATCAGAGAATATTATGAACACCTCTATGCACACAAACTAGAAAATCCAGAATAAATGGAGAAATTCCTGGACACATACACCCTCCTGAGATCAAACCAAGAATAAATTGAATACATGAACAGACCAATAATGAGCTCCAAAATTGAATCAGTAATAAAAATCCTACAGACCAGAAAAAGCCCAGTACCAGACAGACTCACAGCTGAATCCCATCTGATATATAAAGAAGAGCTGGTACTATACCTACTGAAACGTTCCAAAAATATTCAGGAGGAGGAATGCCTCCCCAGCTCATTCTATGAGACCAGCATCATCTTGATGCAAAAACATGGCAGAGACACAACAAAACCAGAAAACTTCAGGACAATATCCTTGTTGAACATAAATGCAAAAATCCTCAACAAAATACTAGCAAACTATCCAGCAGCACATCAGAAAGCTAATCCACCACCATCAGGTAGGCTTTATTTCTGGGATGCAAGGTTGATTCGATATAGGAGTCTCGCTCTGTTGCCCAGGCTGGAGTGTAGTGGCGTGAACTTGGCTCACTGCAAGCTCCGCCTCCTGGATTCATGCCATTCTCCTGCCTGAGCCTCCCGAGCAACTGGGACTACAGGCGCCCGCCACCATGCCTGGCTAATTTTTTTGTATTTTTTAGTATAGACGAGGTTTCACCGTGTTAGCCAGGATGGTGTCGATCTCCTGACCTCATGATCCACAAGCCTTGGCTTCCCAAAGTGCTGGGATTACAGGCATGAGCCACAGTGCCCGGCCAATATACACAAATCTTAAATATGATTCATCACATAAATAGAACAACCCTCCCCACACACATAATCCTCTCAATAGAGCTTTTGATAAAATTCAACATCCCTTTATGCTAAAAAACCTCGACAAACTAGGCATTGAAGAAACATATTTCAAAATAATAAGAATGATGTATGACAAACTCACAGTCAACATCATATTGAATGGGCAAAAGCTGGAAGTATTCCCCTTGAAAACTGGCAAAAGACATGGATGCCGTCTCTCACTACTTCTGTTCAACATAGTACTGGAGGTCCTAGCTAGAGCAATCAGGCAAGAGAGAAATAAAAGGCATCCAAATAGGAAGAAAGGAAGTCAAACTATCCCTGTTTGCAGGTGATATGATTCTATACCTAGAAAACCACAGTCTCTGCCCAAACACTTCTTAATCTGATAAACAACTTTAGCAAAGTTCCAGGATACAAAATCAATATATAAAAATCAGTAGCATTCCTATACACCAAAAACATCTAAGCTGAGAGCCAAATCAAGAATAGAATCCATTCACAATTACTGCAAAAAGAATAAAATACCTGGGAATACAGCTAACCAGGGAGGTGAAAGATCTCTGCAAGGAGAACTACAAAACACTGGTCAAAGAAATCATAGATGACACAAACAAATGGAAAAACATTCCATGCTCATGGATAGGAAGAATGAGTATTGTTCAACACACAAATAATTCAGGCTTTAGAAGGAGCTGGAAGAGAGAAGACATGGATGGACGTGGGGCTCACACCCATTAGGAGGCTAAGGCAGTAGTAGTTGGGGTGGCAGAATATTCAGTAGTACACTAAGACTGCCTCATGCTTAGTACTGCAGTAGTACTACAGAATGCTAGAGTGTTCAGTAGGGTTAGACTATGGCAGCATCCTTTTAAATGAAGTGACGGGAGGAAGTGGGTTGCTAAAACAAAATAGAATCAGCATAAGGAAGGATATTGGGCAGATGACTCCTGACTTCCTCATTCTTGCAGTTTGAGCATTCAGTAAATTACAGATCCTTCATGGACAGTCTAACACAGGCAAGGACTAACTATAAATCCAGGCCTGAGCATTAATGAGTCTGAAGGGTTTGGAGATAACAAAGTGAGATAGAAATTATGCAAGAGAAGCACAGCAGAAACAACTAGAATGGGGACTAAAATAAGAATGGTGCTTCAGGCTATTCCTCAATTTCTTTATCCTAGAGCTCCCAAGAGGGTCTAAAGGGGCTGGGAGAGATTTACAGGACACTTACCTTCCTGTGCCTGAATCCTCTGGCCCAGACAGAGCACTGGAAGAGAGAGATTTATGAAAAATCAAGCTTCCATTTCCAACCTTTACGACAAATCACCCTCTGTAATGACAGACCAGAAAAAGACCAGTACCAGATGGATTCACAGCTCAATCCCACCAGATATATAAAGAAGAGCTGGCATTTTTTTTTTTTTTTGACACAGAGTCTCGCTGTGTCGCCCAAGCTGGAGTGCAGTGGCATGATCTTGGCTCACTGCAAGCTCTGCCTCCCAGGTTCATGCCATTCTCCTGCCTCAGCCGCACGAGTAGCTGGGACTACAGGCGCCCGCCACCACGCCTGGCTAATTTTTTTGTATTTTTAGTAGAGACAGGGTTTCACCATGTTGGCCAGGATGGTTTTGATCTCCTGACCTTGTGATCCGCCTGCCTTGGCCTCCCAAAGTGCTGGGATTGCAGGTGTGAGCCACTGCGCCCGGCCAAGAAGAGCTAGTATTATTCCTACTGAAACTATTGAAAAAAATCCTGGAGGAGGGACTCCTCCCCAACTCATTCTATGAGGCCAACATTATCCTGATAACAAAATGTGGCAGAGATACAACAAAAACAGAAAACTTCTGGATAATATCTTTGTTGAACATAAATGCAAAAATCTTCAACAAAATACTAGTAACCATATTTCTATATGGGGTTCTATCATATGTTTTCCTTCCACAACAATCACAGTTTTGAGGTTCATTCTTTATTTTTACCTTTCAGATTCCAGCCTCTAAGTCTCTCCTTGATAAGAACCTTGGGACCATCATGAATCCCAGATAACACACTATAGGTTTAATACAAATATTAAACCTTGAGCCCCACAAGCTAGCTTGGGCTTGGGTAGAGACAAAGTTATAGATACATTGACAAAGACGGCCTTTCCACTAAGGAGATCAGAATCTCCTTGGCAGCCACTAAAATCTCCTAGTCACACTGTTAAGAGACACCCTGATTATTTTGGGATTTCTCTATCTTCCCCTCTAACCCACTTTTACTCTGAAACTCACCAAGACACAGGAGGGTGGTCTGTTTGGGGTCCATCGTGCTGACACGGCCTCAGCCCCGTTGCTCTCCTTTCAATGCACATTAGCAGGATGACAGATATTCTTACGACAATAAGCTCCGCAGGAAGTATGAGGACAGAGCCCCTCGTCAGGGAATTTCCACATCTATTGCCTCACAGCAAAGTGGAACAGTTCGTTGCCGAATAACTTAGTTCCAGGTTGCTCTTGGGTGGAGCCCAAGAGAAGACATATATATGTATATTTTTTTAAATAGAGATGGGGTCTTTCTATGTTGGCCAGGGTAGTCTCTAACTTCTGGCATCAAGAAATCCTCCTGCCTAAGACCTGTATTTCTATTTATGTTTCAGATGAGAAACGAATGAGAAGTGAATTTTCATTAAGCCAGTGTCTAATGGTGTTCAAATTCATCTTTGAACCAGATGCTACATCCAAATAGACGGGCTTGGGACAGAATATAAGGTGGTGGATACCATACAGGCAGACATTGCCTTCACTGGGCCATTAGTCAAAAGCTCTGTGGCTTTGTCTGTTCTGAACCTATGTTTCATCTCTGAGATTCATGGTCTGAGTATATTTACTTGGACTTGACCAGGCATGCAGTATACCCTTATCCTGGAGATGATCTCAATGCCAGAGTGTGGAGGCATTTTCTCTGGCACTATTTGTCATCTCTAAAGAAAGAATCTACTATTTTATTATACTTTTTTGTTTATTTGTATAAATTTAAGGAGCGCAAGTGAAATTTTATTACGTGGATATTTTGTGTAGTGGTGAAGTCTGGGCTTTTAATATAATTATCCTCAAATAATGTACATTGTTGCTCATTGAGTATTTTTTTAACTTTTATTTTAGGTTCAAGGGTACATGGGAAGGTTTGTTATACAGGTAAACTTGTGTCATGGGGGTTTGTTGTACAGATTATTTCATCACCTAGGTAATAAGCTTGGTACCTAATAGTTACTTTTCCTGCTCCTTTCCCGCCTCCCACCCTCCACCCTAAAGGAGACCCCATTGTCTGTTTTTCCCTTTTTTGTGTTCATGAGTTCTATTATTTAGCTTCCACTTATAAGTGAGAACCTGCTGTATTTGGTGTTCTGTTCTTGTATAGTTTGCTAAGGATAATGGCCTCCAGCTCCATCCATGTTTCCACAAAACATATGAACTCATTCTTTTTTTATGGCTTCAAATTAATTTTATTTTTATCTTATTATTTATGTTATTTTGATTGTAGACTCCTGGCTATCACGAATTCTTCAGGTATGGAGAGTGAAATATTCCTAATTAAACCTTCTACTATTTTATTTTATTTTATTTATTCTTTTTTTTTTTTTGAGACGGAGTCTTGCTCTGTCGCCCAGGCTGGAGTGCAGTGGCGTGATCTCAGCTCACTGCAAGCTCCACTTCCCGGGTTCATGCTATTCTCCTGCCTCAGCCTCCCGAGTAGCTGGGACTACAGGCACCCGCCACCACGCCCGGCTAATTTTTTTTGTATTTTCAGTAGAAACGGGGTTTCACCGTGTTAGCCAGGATGGTCTCGATCTCCTGACCTCGTGATCCACCCACTTCGGTCCCCCAAAGTGCTGGGATTACAGGCATGAGCCACCGCGCCCCACTTTATTTTCATTTTAATACATCATAACTTAGCCCTTCCAACGCCGAAGTATTTTGAAGTCCTGAGCTTGTCCCATATTTCAGAAAGCCGATCAGCTTCCATGTTGACTGTTTCATTTGTGCAAATTTAAGTGACCTTTTGTTTTGCCACATTTTGTTAATTTCCACATACATATTTACGTTCGGGAAATTTGGAAATACTACGTTCTGGAAATTTGGTGTTGATGATTGCATGAAATTGACCGCATTCTAATTTTCTTTTTTTGTTGTTTTGTTACTTATGCCTTATTTATTCATTCCTTTGTTCTCACTTGAATGGGACTTTGGGTGAAAGACAAATAATGGCTGTACTCTTAGTTGAGTATTTAAAATGCAGAGATTGTAAAGGCAGGATGACCTAATTAAAAATACTATTGTTGGCTGGGTGCAGTAGCTCATGCCTGTAATCCCAGCACTTTGGGAGGCCAAGGCAGGTGAATCACTTGAGTTCAGGAATTTAAGACCAGCCTGGTCAATGTGGTGAAACCCAGTCTCTACTAAAAATATAAAAAATTACTTGGGTGTGGTGGCGGGTGCCTGTAATTCCAGCTACTCGGAAGGCTGAGGCAGGAGAGCCACTTGAACCCAGGAGGCAGAGGTTGCAGTGAGCCAAGATCACTGCACTCCAGCCTGGGCAACACAGAGCGAGACTGTGTCTCAAAAAAACAAAAGCTATTGTTATGGTTTACAAATGACGTGGCTTTCTATTGGGAGAGAGATACTTACTAATTGTTGAATTTCAGGAACTTCAGTGGCCAATATTTACTAATGGGCTGGAACAGATTTTGTCAACTTACCACAACATTTGGTGTGGTTTTGTTCTTTTGTTTCCTCCTTTTGTGGAACAGGAATGGTAACGTAGCCATGGGGTGCTGAGATATTTGGTTAAACATTATTCTGTGTGTGTCTGTGGGGGTGTTGCTGAATGAGATTATCAATGGAATTAGTGTAATTTATAAAGCAGATTGCTCTCCCTAATGTGAGTCGGCCTCATTCAATCAGGTGGGACCTGAATAGAACAAAACATTGAACTGGTAATGTAAGATGAAGTTCCTTTTGCTTGGACATCAGTCTTTTCTGGCTCTTGAACTCTCACTAAAACATTGACTCTTTAGATGTTAAGCCTGCCAGCTTTTTTTGTTTGTTTGTTTTTTTGAGATAGAGTCTCACTCTGTCACCCAGGCTGGAGTGCTGTGGCATGATCTCGGCTCACTGCAACCTTCACCTCTTGGGTTCAAGCAATTCTCGTACCTCAGCCTCTGAGTAGCTGGGATTACAAGCGAATGCCACTATGCCCGGCTAATTTTTGTATTTTTAGTAAAGATGGGGTTTCACCATGTTGGCCGGGCTGGTCTTGAACTCTGACCTCAGGTGATCTGCCTGCCTTGGTCTCCCAAAGTGTTGGGATTACAGGCGTGAGCCATCATGCCCGGCATGAGCCTGCTAGCTTTTGGACTGTTACGTATACCACTAACTCTACTGGTTCTCAGACTTTTGCACGTAGACTGGAACTACACGTGGACTCCCCTGGGTCTCCAGCTTGCAGATGGCAGATCATGGGACCTGTCAGTCTACATAGTTGCATAAGCCAATATATAAATACCCTATCTGTGTATCAATCATTATATATCTGTCATTATCCAACTATATGTCTATCATTATTTGTGATATCATTATATATCTATCATTATTTGTCTATCAATCATTATCTATATATCTATCATTATTAGTGTTGATTATTTTTTTTTCTGGAGAACCCTGACTACTATAGCTTCCATGTTCCTGTCTCAACTGTCACCAGTCCCCTTAGCACAGGGCCTATCATAGCCATTCTACGGCCCAAGGAATTACAAGCCACATAACTACAGGAGTCACAGTGACCCAAGGATTTAGACGGAGACACGGAAGAATTGAGGCATCTATTGGTCTCTGCATATTTTGGGATTTGGGATTTCCCAGCAGGGAAATTTGCCTTGAATCTGTCTAACTGGTCACTAAGAGTTGATTGGTAGGTTCCATTCTCCGTGCACAGCATAAACCCTAATAAGCCCAAACTGACTGGCAGTGGAGACTCTCAACCCTCAATGGGACCAAACTGTGACTGGCAGTGGAGACTCTCAACCCTCAATGGGACCAAACTGTGACTGGCAGTGGGGACCTTCAACCCTCAGTGGGACCGAACTGTGACTGGCAGTGGGGACCTTCAACTCTCAGTGGGACTTTACAGCACTCAGCTGCACCTGTGTGGAGAATTTGTCTCAAACACCTAAGAAGGAAGGAGGCCTTTGTTTCGAGGAAGAAGAAGGGGAGCTGCTTCTCTATCCACTGACCTCAGAGGTACCGGAGAGTGTCCAGTGAGGGCCTTAACTCTCTGCAGTATTTTTTTTTTTTTTGAGATGGAGTCTCACCCTGTCGCCCAGGCTGGAGTGCAATGGCAGGATCTCGGCTCACTGCAACCTCTGCCTCCCCAGTTCAAACGATTCTCCTGTCTCAGCCTCCTGAGTATCTCAGATTTACAGGCACCTGCCACCATGCCCAGCTATTTTTTGTATTTTTAGTAGAGACAGAGTTTCACCATGTTGGCCAGGCTGATCTCGAACTCCTGACCTCGTGATCTGCCCACCTCCGCCTCCCAAAGTGCTGGGATTATAGGCGTGAGCCACTGCACCCAGCCACTCTCTGCAGTTTTAAAGGCCATTTCCATGAATTAGAGTATACTTAGGCACTGAGGTAAGCATGGCACAGCTTTCTGAAAATAAAGTTGAAACTTAGAGGTTTCTTTTAGCTTTATTGAGATATGATTGACAAATGGAAATTGTATATATTTAAGGTGTATTACACTTGATGTTTTGATGTATGTATACATGGTGACATGATCATCATAGTCAAGCTAGTTATATCCATCATCTCGCAGGGTTATTGTTTTTTTTTTTTTTTTTTTTGAGAGGAAGTCTTACTCTGTCCCCCAGGCTAGAGTGCAGTGGTGCCATCTTGGCTCACTGCAACCTCCGCTCCCAGGTTCCAGCAATTCTCGTGCCTCAGCCTCCTGAGTAGCTGGGATTACAGGCTTGTGTCACCACGCCTGGCTAATGTTTGCATTTTTAGTAGAGACAGGGTTTCACCATGTTGGCCATGCTGGTCTTGAACTCCTGACCTCAAGTGATCTGCCCGTCTTGGCCTCCCAAAGTGCTGGGATTACAGGCGTGAACCACCGCGCCCGGCCTATGGTTTCTTTTTTTTTTTTTTTTTTTTTTTTTTTTGTGGTGAGGACCCTTAAGATCTACTCTCCCAGCCGGGCGTGGTGGCTCATGCCTGTAATCCCAGTACTTTGGGAGGCCGAGGCAGGCGGATCACGAGGTCAGGAGATCGAGACCATCCTGGCTAACACAGTGAAACCCCGTCTCTACTAAAAATACAAAAAATTAGCAGGGCGTGGTGGCGGGCGCCTGTAGTCCCAGCTACTCGGGAGGCTGAGGCAGGAGAATGGCGTGAACCCAGGAGGCGGAGCTTGCGGTGAGCCGAGATCGCGCCACTGCACTCCAGCCTGGGTGACAGAGCAAGACTCCAGCTCAAAAAAAAAAAAAAAAAAAAAAATCTACTCTCCCATGCTTGCCTCGGCAGCACATATACTAAAATTGGAACGATACAGAGAAAACTAGCATGGCCCCTGCGCAAGAATGACACGCAAATTCGTGAAGTGTTCCATATTTAAAAAAAAAAATCTACTTTCCTGGTAAATTTCAAGTATAGAGTACAGTATTGTCAACCATAGTGGCAAAGCTGTACAAGAGATCTTCAGACCCATTCCTCCTGAATACCTGATAGTTTGTATCCTTTGATCAACATCTCCCAATTCCCTCCCCCACACTGTCCCTGTAGTTCTAGTGAGTTCCCCAGACTCTGATGTCTCAATTTCATTCAGTCACTTTCCTCCAGATACATCTACCCATTCCTACTGCATCTTAGTATCCTGAGCCTTGGGGGCAGTTTCTGTGCCAAGTGGAAATGTGGAAATGAGATATTACGAAGAAAAATCTTTGCCCACCTAGACAGGGATCTGATGTTTTCCAAGATGACACATGATTACATGTTGAAATGATAATATTTTGAGTCTACTTGTATAATAAAATAATATTTTGGATCTATTAGGTTAATATTTTGGGTCTGTTGGGTTAATAATATTTTGGGTCCATTGGGTTAACTTAAATTAATTTTATCTGTTTCTTGTTAGCTTTTTAATTTGGATACTAGCAAGTTTGAAAGAATGCATGTGGTTTGCATTATGTTTCTATAGGACAGAACTTACCTGTAGATGTAAGGGAGTCACAACAAAATTACAAGCATTGTTTTTGGTGGAAATGAGAAAAATGATTACAAATTTACATGGAAAAGCAAATAGCCAATAATAATAATAATGGCAATCTTAAAGAGGAAGGAGAAATTAGAGGATTCAGGCTGCCAAATTTTAAGGGGTTCTATAAGGCCACATAAAGTGCAGCATCCTCATGAGAGTGGACACAGAGAGCCACTGAGCAGAAAAGAGTGTGTAAAATACATCTGTGTACACACAGTCCTTTTATAGTTGACAGAGGCTGCCATGCGGATTAAGGTGGAATAGAATGTCTTCTCAGTAAATAACATTGGACCAGAGGGTTACAAGCAGGAAAAAATAAATCTAAGCTTATTTTCACACCATAAAAACACTGCTAATTTTTTATCTTATTATCATACATTTTGATGATTTATTTATAAAATTGATGAATGAAAATTATATACAGTAGTCCTTCACTATTCATGGGTGATTGGTTCCAGGAAACCCCCCTCCCTACCAGACACCAAAATCTGCAGATGCTCAAGCCTGTTGCATGAAATGGCACAGCGTTTGCATATAACCCATGCACATCCTCCTGTATACATGAAATCATCTCTAGATTACTTATAATTCCTGATACAGCCTACACACCACCTCACTTGTGTCCACACAATATAGTATTTTTGCTTTTTGGAACTTTGTGGATTTTTTCTCTGAATATTTTTGATTTATATTTGGTTCAATAAACACCTGTAAACCCCACAGATATGGAGGAGCGACTGTATATTTATAGTATGAAAGATGATGTGTTGACATGTGTCCCTGTGGAGATGAGACTAACAAGGCCTATGACTCTACAAATGTTTCATCTTGGAATGACTCTGCCAGCTTTCCAGGTCTGCAGAGAGTAAGAATATCACTTGTTCATGTGATTCACGATCCTTGGAACCTCCTATGTGCTGCATCTTTGGATGGAAATTGGAGTCCCAGAGACAAATGAGGCTCCACCCTGCTTCCAGAAGCTCAGAGTCCAGGGCTGAGAACCCAGTAGAGAACATATCAGGTTATATGGACATAGTAATGATAACACTGGAAACTTTTGGCGAATAAAGAGTCACATTATCGAAACCATGAGGGCAGACATGTTTATTTGAAGAGGAGAGAGCTACACTGAAGTTATAAAAAAAATTTATAAATTTTACTGATGACAGAAGGCTGAAAGATAGTCTGAGGGGAGGTGGAACAGCATGAGGGAAGGTGGAACAGCAAGTGTGTAAGTGCCGTGTTAAGAGGGAGCCTCTTGCATGTTTGGAATTGTGAGTTCCTCAGTGTGATTGCAGCCTCAAGTAGGACTAGGAAGTAAGCCAGTTAGGTTGGAGAGGTGGGCAGGGGTCAAGTGAAATAGATACTTGTGGGCTAAGCAAAGGAGTGTGTTTTCTCTGCAGCAGGCAGTGGCGACCTTAGGCATTTGTAAGCAAGAGAGAGGCATGTTCAGATTCGTGGTGTGAGGAAGAGCGATCCCCTAAGATGCAGACTGATGCCTTCAGATTCCAGCTGCTGGTTCATTGGATCTGGCAACCTGGTTTTGAGACAGGGCTGTTGTCTCCCTAGAAAACCCCCTCAAGACCTGACTGTGGTGCTCGTGGGCAGGAGACAACTTTGGATCTGGGCTCAGCATTTGGAAGTTCCGTGTACACGCTGGTATCTGTTAGGGGTGTCTTGGGCCTCTGAGAAGGGCGACTGATTTTTCTCTGTATGAAAACGCAGTGATCCAACTGTGCGTACATCACCTCCTGAGGGTCTTGTTCATCAGAGTCCTGGAGAGAGGGAAATGCTGAGTGAGGGAGGGTGCTCACATTTTTCAGGACTATTAGGGATAAGACTGTATCCGTGAGGCTGGGCCGAGGAGGACCTACCTGCCTATTCACTGTTCTGTCCCCCGCAGGCTCTTGGTCCATTACAGCAGCATCTGTAGGAGACGGAAGTCATCAAAACCGCTTGGAGGGCCCTTCTGGGTCCTCATTTCATGGGCAGACACCAACCCACAGGGGGAGGCTGTAGGTGCCTGAGGCTCTTCAGCTGCCAACATCCAGACTCAGACATTCTATCTCTCTGAGTTCAAGACCCCATCCCATGAAGTGCTCTCAATTGGCATCCCATTGATTCTGTCTCCCACTTTCTGCCTGTCATGGAAGCTTCTGGATGTCAGTGGCTGCAGGGGATGTGAGGATACAGTTCAGAACCAGGCAATGGTCTGTGAGCTGAAGGCAGGGGCAGGTTGTCTGGTGCTCTCTCTAGAAAGCCCTGCCTCTGTGGCTCCTCCCTTGGGCCAGGGACCATCCTGCCAGTGAGGAACACACACCCGCGTGCTCCCATCCTGCTTCCCCACATGGCCCTGAGCTCTCTGGCCTCTGCTTCGTGAGACTTACTCTTTTTGTTGGAGCACCAGCGATAAAGGAGAAAGAAGAGGAGGAGGATGAAGAGGAAGATGACCACTGAGGTCCCAATCAGAACATGCAGGTGTCTGCAGATACCTGGAGGAAGATGGGAATCCAATAAGAAGCTAATCATAGCAGTTCCTCTTTATGGATTGTCTCATTTCTTGATTGACAGGTAACCACATGGAACATCTCCTTAGGACAAGCAGCCTGATGGCGGGAGACCCAGCTTTCTCCTGCTTTCTCAGTTACAGCTCTCATAGAAACCATAGAACATGCTGAGGATACAGCTGCTTTAGTTTAGATGTTTGACCCTTTGAAACCTCACACTGAAATATTGAAATTTAACCCCCAGTGTGGAAGTTTGGGCCTATGGGAAGGTGTTTGAGTCATGGAGGTGGATCCATCATGAATAGATTAATGCTGCCCCACATGATGGGGTTAGCAAGTTCCCCCTCTATTAGTTCCCGGAGGGCTGGTTGTTAAAAAGAGCTTGGAAGCTCCATCGCTCGCCCTCCCCCTTGCTCCCTCTCTTGCCATGTGATCTCTGTGGTCTCTGCACAGACAGACCCTCCTTCCCTTCTGCCAGAGTGGGAGCAGCCTGAGGCCGTCACAGGAAACAGATGCTGGTGCCATGCTTCCAGTACAGCCTGCAGAACTGTGAGGCAAACAAATCTGTTTTCTCTAGAAGTTGCCCAGGCTCTGGGATGCAAGGCTGGTTCAATATATGCAAATCAATAAATGTAATCCATCATATAAACAGAACCAAAGACAAAAACCGGACGATTATCTCAATAGATGCAGAAAAGGCCTTTGACAAAATTCAACAACACTTCATGCTAAAAACTCTCAATAAATTAGGCATTGATGGGACGTATCTCAAAATAATAAGAGCCATCTATAACAAACCCACAGCCAGTATCATACTGAATGGGCAAAAACTGGAAGCATTCCCTTTGAAAACTGGCACAAGACAGGGATGCCCTCTTTCACCACTCCTATTCAACATAGTGTTGGAAGTTCTGGCCAGGGCAATTAGGCAGGAGAAGGAAATAAAGGGTATTGAATTAGGAAAAGAGGAAGTCAAATTGTCCCTGTTTGCAGATGACATGATTGTATATCTAGAAAACCCCATTGTCTCAGCCCAAAATCTCCTTAAGCTGATAAGCAGCTTCTACAAAGTCTCAGGATACAGAATCAATGTACAAAAATCACAAGCATTCTTATACACCAATAACAGACAAACAGAGAGCCAAATCATGAGTGAACTCCCATTCACAATTGCTTCAAAGAGAATAAAATACCTAGGAATCCAACTTACAAGGGATATGAAGGACCTCTTCAAGGAGAACTACAAACCACTGCTCAATGAAATAAAAGAGGATACAAACAAATGGAAGAACATTCCATGCTCATGGGTAGGAAGAATCAAGATCGTGAAAATGGCCATACTGCCCAAGGTAATTTATAGATTCAATGCCATCCCCATCAAGCTACCAATGACTTTCTTCACAGAATTGGAAAAAACTACCTTAAAGTTCATATGGAATCAAAAAAGAGCCTGCATTGCCAAGTCAATCCTAAGCCAAAAGAACAAAGCTGGAGGCATCATGCTGCCTGACTTCAAACTATACTACAAGGCTACAGTAACCAAAACAGCATGGTACTGGTACCAAAACAGAGATATAGATCAATGGAACAGAATAGAGCCCTCAGAAATAATGCCACATATCTACAACTATGTGATCTTTGACACACCTGAGAAAAACAAGCAATGGGGAAAGGATTCCCTATTTAATAAATGGTGCTGGGAAAACTGGCTAGCCATAGGTAGAAAGCTGAAACTGGATCCCTTCCTTACACCTTATACAAAAATTAATTTGAGATGGATTAAAGACTTAAACGTTAGACCTAAAACCATAAAAACCCTAGAAGAAAACCTAGGCATTACCATTCAGGACATAGGCATGGACAAGGACTTCATGTCTAAAACACCAAAAGCAACGGCAACAAAAGCCAAAATTGACAAACGGGATCTAATTAAACTAAAGAGCTTCTGCACAGCAAAAGAAACTACCATCAGAGTGAACAGACAACCTACAAAATGGGAGAAAATTTTCGCAACCTACTCATCTGACAAAGGGCTAATATCCAGAATCTACAATGAACTCAAACAAATTTACAAGAAAAAAACAAACAATCCTATCAAAAAGTGGGCAAAGGACATGAACAGACACTTCTCAAAAGAAGACATTTATGCAGCCAAAAAACACATGAAAAAATGCTCACCATGACTGGCCATCAGAGAAATGCAAATCAAAACCACAATGAGATACCATCTCACACCAGTTAGAATGGCGATCATTAAAAAGTCGGGAAACAACAGGTGCTGGAGAGGATGTGGAGAAATAGGAACACTTTTACACTGTTGGTGGGACTGTAAACTAGTTCAACCATTGTGGAAGTCAGTGTGGCGATTCCTCAGGGATCTAGAGCTTGAAATACCATTTGACCCAGCCATCCCATTACTGGGTATAAACCCAAAGGACTATAAATCATGCTGCTATAAAGACACATGGACACGTATGTTTATTGTGGCACTATTCACAATAGCAAAGACTTGGAACCAACCCAAATGTCCAACAATGATAGACTGGATGAAGAAAATGTGGCACATATACACCATGGAATACTATGCAGCCATAAAAAATGATGAGTTCATGTCCTTTGCAGGGACATGGATGAAATTGGAAATCATCATTCTCAGTAGACTATCACAAGGACAAAAATCCAAACACTGCATGTTCTCACTTATAGGTGGGAATTGAACAATGAGAACACATGGACACAGGAAGGGGAACATCACACTCTGGGGACTGTTGTTGGGTGGGGGGAGGGG
This sequence comes from Homo sapiens, assembly GCF_000001405.40. Lineage (NCBI taxonomy): Eukaryota > Metazoa > Chordata > Mammalia > Primates > Hominidae > Homo > Homo sapiens. The sequence goes on from NT_187641.1 coordinate 18,186, forward strand.
GGAGGGATAGCATTAGGAGATATACCTAATGCTAAATGACGAGTTGATGGGTGCAGCACACCAGCATGGCACATGTATACATATGTAACTAACCTGCACATTGTGCACATGTACCCTAAAACTTAAAGTATAATAATAATAAAAATTTAAAAAAAAAGCTCATCAGAAGCACTATACAAAAAAAAAAAAAAAAAAAGAAGTAACCCAGGCTCAAGTGTTCTTTTATAGCAACAAAAATGGACTAAGACAGCAACGTCCTGAGATCAGGAGGAACGTCTCAGAACAGCCTGTGCTGTCTTCCTGTTCTTCCTGGAGGAGGACGTCATGCAGTGCTTTAGCTGAGTGCTTCCTGTGGCTTCAGGGTACGAAACCCAGGCTGGGCTATTTTCTGGCTTCCCCCAGATACACTGCAAATGAGGTGACTCCATATGTCCCGAGAAGCTTTTCTGAGCCTTGAGGGACTGGCTCACATTGAAATGTAGGCTTCTGTTGTCACTCGCTGCTTATCTGTTAGTAATGAACCTGCCTATGTAACGTATTCTCTGTGTGTTCTGTCTCCCTGGAGTGACGGTGAGTGATAGAAATTTGCATAGGCCCAGGTGCAGTACAGCAGGTGTTTAGAGTCTTCTCTGGAAAGACTGAACTGGGATTGATACACAGTGAATGTGCTTTACAGTTTCTACATCCACAACCCTCTTGACTCAAATTACATTCTCCAAGAAAAGGACACAAAAGTGAAATCAAGATCAAAAAAGCAAAGTAGAATTCTCTTATGTCAAACAGCCAGGAAATAATGATGAAGCCCATGTGAAACGTGCTACTCTTTGTGATCTCGCGAGACACATGTTAGGCTGCTGTTCCACCTGAGAGGCTGGGGGAAAGACCACCCCCTCCACCATCTATTGCTTCAAAACCACCTGTCCTCCTGTGAATTAGTAGGAAAGGGGAGCAGGAGCTAGTGCTGGTGCTGATCTCTGATTCCAAGATCTGAACTCACTCCAAGGAGTATTAGCGTTTACCTCCCCATGATCTATCTGTATCTCCACAGGTGATTGGAAGTAGGGGTGAGGTGGGGGATTTGGGTGAGGGGGCAAGTTTCTTGTGATGAACAGAGCACTTTCCCTATTTCAGGGCCTGTGCTGGTGGGTTCAGGGGGCTTTCATATTTTCCATATGATCTCATGTTCACAGAAAGCCAAATATGGAAGAGGTTTTAGGCTGATTTTCTAATGGATAAGATAAAGGATCAAAGAAGTAATTATAGAGAAATAGAAAAATGATGATTGGAATTCAGGTGCCTGCATCATTTGTGTATATTATTATATTTATGTATTTTTTATTTTTATTTTTTGAGCCAGAGTATCCCTGTGTAGCCCAGGCTGGTGTGCAGTGACGCGATCTCCACTCACTGCAACCTCTGCCTCCAGGGCTGAAGTCATTCTCCTGCTTCCTCCTCCAGAGTAGCTGGGATTACAGTCATGCACCACCATCATGCCTGTTTAATTTTTGTATTTTTAGTAGAGATAGGGTTTCTCCATGTTGGCCAGGCTGGTCTCGAACTCCTGACTTCATGTGATCCACCCGCGTTGGCCTCCTGAAGTGCTGGGTTACAGGCGTGAGCCACCGTTCACAGCCTTGTATATTATGCTATACTAGGTCCCTTCATTTGCACCACCCCTCATCTAGCTCTCCCTCCTCTGCCAGGTATTGATTTAGATGCAGGAGAAATAAATCTCAGAAATAAGTTAGTGAAGCGAGGATTAAACTACCAGGAAAAAATCAAACCCAGCAAGCCTTTCCAGCCAATGATTCTACCTCACAAACATATCTTATATCCATCTACTTCATTCATTTAGTGTCTAAATCAGCACCACATTTCACCAGTGGGGCGGGAATTGCCTTTTCCACGGTCTCCTAGATTCCAGTTACGCACCTGGGCCTCCCTTATTTTCATGTCAGTCATATTAATCATGTAGGGATTCCTGGTTACCCCGAGGTGAGTCCAATGGCTGTGAGTGTCAAACACACACTCCTTGTTGCTCCTTAGTTTCCTGTGTACCCAGTGTGCTCTCCGTCTCTCTACAGTCGTCTTGTCATTCTCCCCACGTCATTCCCAGCATTTGAGGCAGAGCCTCTTCCTTCAACATCAGATTATTTTCACCTTTGTGCCTTCACGGCTGACAGCTGTGTGTGCAAAATCCTTCCGCCCATCTTTCAGGGGTTCAATCCGTGTTTTTCATTAATGTCACAAATATCTGATTAGTGAGAACTTCTCTGTCACCTGAAATCATACACTCAGCATTATCTATTATTGATTTGAAAATTTGGCTTGGCCCCGTGGCTCATGCCTCTTATCCCAGCGTGTTGGGAGGCAGAGGCTATTGGATCACCTGAGGTTGGGAATTTGAGACCAGCCTGGCCAACATGGTGAAACATCCTCTCTACAGAAAATATGCAAAAAGAGTTAGCCGGGCGTGGTGGTTGTGGTCTGTAATCCCAGCTACTGGAGAGGCTGAGGGAGGAGATCCGTTCAGCCCAGGAGGTGGAGGTTGCAGTGAGCCGAGATCATGCCACCGCACTCTAGCCTGGACGACAGAGCAAGGCTCCGTCTCAATAAACAAGTAGGTAAATACATAAATAAATAGATTTCATGCACAGATGCTTCTCAATAGATCATTCATTTATTGGTCCCCTTGTGCCTACATTTTCTGCCCTCCCATTTAACCATCTGCAAGATCAGTGTCCCAAGAACAGAGGCCAAATGCATCTTGTTCACTGTTTGTGGAAGGCAGGAGAATGTTGTCCCACCCCAAAAATGTCCATGTCCTAGCCTCCATAGCTTGTGAATATGTTATTTTACATGAAAGGAGGAATGAAGATTGCAGATGGAATTATGGTTGCTAGTCAGCTGAACTTAAAAGGAGGGTATCCTGGATGATTTCCGGGAGATTATGATGGATTTTCATCTTGGTGAACCCAATAGAATCCCCAAGTTTTCAAAAGAAGGGGAAGAAGGGAGAGCAGCATTCAGAGAAAGAGGTGTGGTAAGGAAGAAGGGTCTGAGTGATGCCATGTGAGATGTGACCAGTCTTTGTGGGCTTTGAGGAAGGAGGAAGGGTACCAGGAGCCAAGGAACATGGGAGCCTCTAGAAGCTGAGAAAAGTGAGAAGCAGATTCTTGCCTGGAACCCTCAGAGGGAAGGCAGCCTTGCTGTCACCTTGATTTTAGCCCAGTGACATGCACGTCATGCTTTGAGCTACAGCACTGTAAGATAATTAAATAACCGTTTTGTTTTCACCCACGAATCTTGTGGAAATTTGTTATGGCAACAATAGGAAAAGCTTCCACACTGCACAGCCTGAGCATGGGGCTGTGGCTGAATGAGTCAGTGAGTCGAAGTGTGCGTGCATGAGCTCTGTTCTCTGTTACGGCAAGGCTCTTGCTCTGCTGAGTCAGCCAGGGTTGCCTGATGACCAACAGTAATTCATTCCTTGGCAAGTGGAACTTCTCTAAAACACCCACCCTCATCAGATGTTCCCTTCCCTTCCCTCTCTCAAGCCCCCGGGAATTTATCCTCCAGTTAGGAATGCAGGCAGAAAAAACACTGCATTTTTCCTGAGAAGGATGTCAGATTGGCAATTATTCTTCTAGCTTGTAGGAGGTCTCACCTGCAGGAAATTAAAGGTAAAGAGACTTCGCTGAGCCCTTTGGTGGCCCTAGATCCCTTTCACTGTTGGAGTGTCTGGAGTTCAGAGATGGTGGAAGACAGGCCCTCATTCACAGAGCTGGGAGGTTTGAGCCAACACTTGCATCCAAGGCTTCCACCTCCCCAGGTTTCCAAAAGCAGAGATAAGAGGGGTCCTTTACTCACCAGATTTGGAGCTTGGTTCTGTGGGTGAAGGCCAACTACTTGAAGGGTTTCCTAGAACACGGGACAGGAGAGATGTGAGGAAATGAGGGTGCTTGTCCTCTACTCAATGGAAATCTTTGAGGTTGGTTCATGGCCAACACTCTGTTATCTAATGTTGGACCCTGGGAGTCTTGGGATCCTTTTCTCCATAATTTTTGTGTGCGATGCCCACTGTCTTGAGACTTGAAGGTATAAAGAGAAAACAGGAGCATCACACTACCTGACTTAGAAATATGTTACAGAGCTGTAGTAAGCAAAACAGCATGACATTGGCATAAAGAAAGGCACATAAAAAATGGAACAGAATGGAGAACACAGATATAATCCATGCATTTACATCCAATGGCTTTCTTTTGTGTGTGTGTGATGGAATCTTGCTCTGTCATGCAGGCTGGAGTGTAGAGGTGCAATCTCAGCTCAATGCAACCTCCACTTCCTGGATTCAAGAAATTCTCTTGCTTCAAACTCCTGAGTAGTGGTATTACAGGCACTGATCACCATGCTCAGCTAATTTTTGTATTTTTAGTAGAGACGAGGTTTCACTCTGTTGGCCAGCCTGGTCTTGAACTCCTGGCTTTAGGTGATCCACCCGCCTCGGCCTCCCAAAGTGCTGGAATTGCAGGTGTGAGCCACCATGCCCAGCCCATTTAATGGACTTTGACAAAGGTGCCGAGAACTTACAATCAAGAAAGGACAGTCTTCAATAAATGGTGTGGGGAAAACTGGATATCTACATGCAGAGGAATAAAACTGCATCTATACCTGTCACCTTACACAAAAATCAAATGAAAATGGATTAAAAACATGAGTCTAAGGCCTGAACCTATGAAACATGTAGAAGAAAATAATGGGGAAGACATTTGTCTGACGAAAGACATTTTGTTTAAAACCTTCAAAACACAAGTAATCAAAGCAAAAAATAGACCATTAGGATTACATCAAACCAAGCAACTTCTGCACCACCAAAGATAAACCAACAAAGTGAAGAGACAACCCACAAAATAGGAGCAAATATTTGCAAACTATTCATCTGAGATGGGATTAATAACTGGAAATATAAGAAGCTCAAACAACTCAATAAAACAATTTAATTAAAAAACGAGCAAAAGACATGAGGAGACATTTCTCCACAAACAAAACATAGAAATGGCGATCACGTATATGAAAAAGTGCTCAGCATCACTCATCATCACAGAAATGTAAATTACAATCGCGATGAGTTTTCATCTCATCCCATTAAAATGCCTTTTAGGCCGGTGGCTCACGCCTGTAATTCCAGCACTTTGGGAGGCGGAGGTGGGCGGATCACCTGAGGTCGGGAGACCAGCCTGACCAACATGGAGAAACTCCCTCTCTACTAAACATACAAAAATTAGCTAGGCGTGGTGGCACATGCCTGTAATCCCAGCTACTTTGGAGGCTGAGGCAGGAGAATCAGTTGAACGCGGGAGGCAGAGGTTGCAGTGAGCCGAGATCACACCCTTGCACTCCAGCCTGGGCGACTATGAGTGAAACTCCATCTCAACATAAATAAATAAATAAATAAATAAAGTAAAATGGCTTTTATCTGCAAGACAGGCAAAACAAATGCTGGCAAGATGGTAGAGAAAGGAGAACCCTGGTACCCTGTTGGTAGGAATGTAAATTAGTACAACTATTATGGAGAAAAGTATGGAAAAACTTTAAAAAACTAAAAGGAGGCTGGGCATAGTGGCTTATGCCTGTAACTTCAGCACTTTGGGAAACCGAGGCAGGCACCTCACTTGAGGTCAGGAGTTTGAGAGCAGCCTGCCCAAAATTGGGATATCCCGTCTGTGCTAAAAAATACAAGAATTAGTCAGGCATGGTGGCGTGCACCTGTAATCACAGCTATTAGGGAGGCTGAGTCAGGAGAATCGTTTGAACCTAGGAAGCAGAGGTTGCAATGAGCCAAGATCGCACCACTTTGACTCCAGCTTGGACTAAGGAGGGAAACTCTTTCTCAAAAAAGAAAAAAAAAAAAGAGAACTTTCATAGTGTCCAGCAATTTCACTACTGGGTTTATATCCAAAGGAAAGGACATCAGTGTATCGAAGTGATATCTGCACTCATATGACTGTTCCAGCACTGTTCACAGTAGCCAAGATGTGGAGTCAACCTACCTGCCTATCAGTGGGTGAATGGATAGAGAACTGTAGTACACACACACGGTGGAGACTACTCATCCATAGAAACAATAACATCCTGTCATTTGCAGCCACATGGATGGAACTGGAGGTCATTACAAAGATTCCCATTTCTCACCACATGCAGGAGATAAAAGGTGGATCTCATGAAGGTAGAGAATAGAATGGTGGATACCAGAGGCCAGGAAGGGAAGGGTGGAGGGTAACAAAAAAAAGAATATAGATGTATTTATTTATTTAGAAACAGAGTCTCTCTCTGTCTCCCAGGCTGCAGTGCAGTGGCATGATCTCGGCTCAGTGCAACCTCTGCCTCCTGGCTTTAAGTGCTTCTCCTGCCTCAGCCTCCCAAGTAGCTAGGACTACAGGTGCATGCCGGCATGCTTGGCTAATTTTTCTTGTCTGTTTAGTAAAGATGAATTTCCCGCATGTTGGCCAGGCTGATCTCGAGTCCCTGATCTTAAATGATCCACCTTTCTTGGCCTCTCAAAGCGCCAAGATTACAACCGTGAACCACCACACCCAGCATATAAAGGTATTTATGACCACTAGATTTTACTTTTAAAAATGGTAAAGTTGGTAAATTATATAGTTACATTTAACCTCAATAAATATTTTTGAAAATGAAAAGAAAAGAGTGTAGGGGTTGCTGGTGATGACATCTCTCTGTGTGGGTGAGAGGCCAGGATGGGCTTCTGGGAAATGGGTAAGGTTGAGGGGCTGAGGGAACCTCTGATCTCCCCAAACTGAGCCCAGTCTCCCCTTCTCTGGGTCTGTCCTGACCGCTTTCTCCATCTGCCTGGGTGCCTGGAGCCCTGACCATGGGCCTCCATGCAGGCCATGCAAGAGGGTTTGGAGGTGCCCTGTCTGCCATCCTGCACCCTGACCCCCCCTTCACACCCAGTCTTCGTGTTCTCTCTGCATCTGTCCATGCTTCTCCCCATCATCGGCAGGAAGCTCCTCAGCTATGGCTCTAGGATCATAAGACATGGGACAGACACGGGTTTTCCTCACCTGTGACAGAAACAAGCAGTGGGTCACTTGAGTTTGACCACACGCAGGGCAGGGCACGGAAAGAGCCGAAGCATCTGTAGGTCCCTCCGTGGGTGGCAGGGCCCAGAGGAAAGTCTGCCTGGAATGTTCTGTTGACCTTGGGCACTGCACGGAGCCTACGTTCATGGGCCTCCCCTTCCCTGGACAGATGGTAGATGTCATAGGAGCTCCAGGAGCTACAGGACAAGGTCACGTTCTCTCCTGCCTGAACCGTGGGGCCCGGCTGGGCTGAGAGAGAAGGTTTCTCATATAGACCTGGAAGGAGAAGAGGCAGTTTCCTCAGGGAGGTTCTTCCTTGTCACAGCTCCCCTCATACCTGAGCTGAGAACTCACTCCCCTGCTCTATGACCTAATGCTCTCTCTCTCTCTCACCCTCCACCCCAACTCTCTTCATGTCTATTTCCTCCTTCCGCCTTCTCTGTCTCTCTAGGTCTCTGACCTCACTTCCCCACCCCTGGGTATGCTTTCCCTTTTTGGATTGTTTTATTCTCTCTGACTCTCCTTGGATTGGTTGACTTGATCTTCCTTTTTCTATAATTCTGAGTCTCTCACTTTCTGTCTTGTTCATAACTTTCTGCATATTTCTATCTATTATCTATCTATCTATTTTGTGTCTATCTACAAATTATCTGTCATCTATATCTATGTATCATTTATCTATCAATTGTCTATCTGTCTATCCATCAATCATCTATGTATTATCTGTATCTATGTATCATCTCTCTCTCTCTCTATTACCTCTCTGTCTGCCTGTCAGTCTCTATGTATCATCTATGTATCTATATATTTATATATGTGTCTTCTATCTATCTATCTTCATCATCATCATCATCATCATCTCTATGTATCATCTATCAATCATCATCTATGTATCTATAACCTATCCATTATCTATCATCTACCTATTTATCATCTATCTATATCTATCTATCCATCTATCATCTGTCTCTCTCCATCTCCTTGTCTTTCTCTGCCTCTCAGTCTCTCTAGTTCTATTTGGAATCTCTGCAATCCATCCCCACATCTTTATCTTTCTCTGTCTTTGTGCCCCTCCCTCAGGGTTCTGATTTTGGGGCTTTTCTCTCCTCCCTTCCAGCATTCTCTCCACTCCTCTGCCCTCTTTTCTTTCTTTTTGTGTGTCTGTGAGTCTCTCAATCCCCTTCCTCTGGCTCATTCTCTGTGTGTTTATGCCTTTGCTTTTTGAAGTCCCTGATTTATCTCTGTGTCTCTCAGTGATCCTATTATATGTAGGATTATTTGGAATATGAGCCTCAGAATCTAGTCTGGGGACACCAAGTACACACAGTATTTAGGGGTTGGTGTTCTGGGGCCATGATATCCTGGGATAATTATGGCTCCACTGCATGGAAGGCAGAGGTGTCAGAATAAACATGGCATCTGTAGATGCCACAAGGCCTGAGGCCACAGGGCCCAACTCAGGTCAGAAATATGGGTGTCCTTGGGTTCTCCTCGTAGAAGCACTTTGTGGAGACAAAACAGAAATGAAACTTCTAACCTGTGCCAGGTCTCTGAGCAAAGTCAGCATGGAAGGACACTTCTCTCTGGCACATGTCTGTCTGTCTGAGTGTCTCCTTTACCTCTTTCTCTCTTTTCTACTTCCCCGTATGGCCCCTGTGTCTGTCCTCTGTTATGACACCTGGTCTGTACTTATGTCTCCTGTTTCCCTGTCTCTGTTGGTACAGACCTCACCGAGTCAGTCTCTCTCCATAAGAATCTCACGCTTATCTTCCTCATGACCACCTGGGGGTTCCAAGTCCTGGATCATTCACTCTGTGTCCCAATGACAATGAGAAGAATGTCTGGACACTCTCACCTGTGATCACGATGTCCAGGGGGTCACTGGGAGCTGACAACTGATAGGGGGAGTGAGGAACAGAACCATAACATCTGTAGGTTCCTGCAAGGACAGGCATCAAGGGACCGATGGAGAAGTTGGCCTTGGAGACCCCATCATGGATCTGTCCAACGAGGCGTGAGGGGTCCTCAGAGATCCCCTCTCTGTGCAGAAAGAAGTGCTCAAACATGACATCTGACCAACATTGCAGGATGACTGTCTCTCCTGATTTCAGCAGGGGCCCTGGGTGGGCCAGGAGGGAAGGTTTTCTGTGGTTTCCTAGAAAGAGAAGTTGTGAGTTTAGAAGGCATCTCTCTTTATCATCCCATCCATGGCACCTGGAATGAGTGAGGGTTCCCCTCCCAGAGGTCTGTCTCTCTCCTCCCTCTCTGTGTCTCCGTGTCTTTTCTGTGCCCATATCCCCTGGTGCAGGTCCCTCCATTTGTCTTCCTCCCTCTTCTCTGTCCCTCTGTCTCCAGTAGCCCCTGACTCCCTTCCCACTGTGAAGAGAGCCTCATCTCTTGGGCTGTTGTATCTCTTTCCCACTAGTCTCTTTCCTGCTGTCTATGTGGGGGTGGAAGAGGACAGGCTGCATGTCCAGGCTCTCAGCAGCCTGAATCAATCTCTTTTGAACAAATTGGAGTCTCTGGCAGAGGTATCAACTCATCAGTAAGGCAGACATCAGTGTCCACACACCCTGTTCCTGATGGGGATTGGGAGCCTCTCCTGCCATGTCTGTGCCTTCTCCATGGCCCCAGCTTCCATAGGGTGGTCCCTGGTGCTGGTTCCAGGAGCATCAACCCCTTCCTATGTGGATGGAGCCTGGTGGTGGCATCAGCATCCCACCCTTGCTGATCCCACGGTAGCCAACCTTCTCCTTGTTTGGTTTCTTTAATTAATTGATTAATTAATTTATTTTTGAGACAGTCACTTTTTCACCCAGGCTGGAGTGCAGTGGTGTTGTCTTGGCTCACTGCAACCTCTGCCTCCCCGGTTCAAGTGATTCTCTTGCCTCAGCCTCCCCAGTCGTTGGATTACTCGTGCCCACCACCACACCTGGCTATCCTTGTTTGGTTTCCTAGCTTGTCCTTGACCTGGGTTCCTGTGTCGGTTTCCTGTTGCTGCTGCAGAAAATTATCACAAACATGGCAGCAGGAGAGAACACACTGACCCCTTCCACTTCTGGGGACAGAAATTGGATCCAGTTCTCCCTGTGCTGAAATCAAGGCATCTGCAGGGCTGCGTTCCCTCTGGAGACTCAGCGAATCAGTTCTCTTGACTTCTCCAGCCCTTAGAGGCCACCTGCATTCTGTGACTAGTGGCCTTCCTCCACCTTCAAAGCCCACAGTGGCTGATAGCGTCTCCCTCCCACTACACTGCTCTAATCCCCACTCCCCTCTTCCTCCACCTCTCACGCGGACCCTTGTGATTACACTGAGCCCAGCAGGACAGTCCAGGCTGTCTCCCCATCTCAAGGTCAACTCATCAACAACCTGAGCTCCACCTTCCCCTTCAGTCCCCTGCCCTATAACATAAATAGTCACAGGCTCCAGGGTTTACAATGTAGCCATCATTGGCGACAGTGATTCTTCCCACCACAGCGCCCATTTCCCCTGTATTCAATCCCCCTTGACCCCAAATACAGTTGGGGCCTGGGTGATGGGACCCTGATGGACACCCCCACCAGAAGCTCTGGGATTCAGGAGGTGGGACAGTGAGAAGCCCAGACAGAAAGCCTCTGACCTGTGACCATGATCACCAGGGGGTTGCTGGGTGTCGACCACCCAGTGAGGGAGTGTGGGCGTGAACCCCGACATCTGTAGGTCCCTGCATGTGCTGGGGTCACAGGGCCCATGATGAAGCTCTCCTGGAATATTCTGCCGTGGAAGATGGGAACGTGGCTTCTGTCTTCTTTGTACAGCATGAAATTGTTAAACCCACGACGATAGTGACACTGAAGAGCCACGTGTCCTCCTCGAGGCACCACAGTGCTGGGCCGGGCAGACAGGAAGGGTTTGTCCTGACCACCTGGGGGAGAAGGAGGCACTGCCTTAGAGAGGAGGATGTGGAGCCACCCCTCCCTCCCTGTGCTCAGAAGATTCTCCCATTTCCACTTTCTAAGGCTCCTACCACACCTGGGTGCCCAGGGCTACAGGAAGGACCCACCCCACATAGACATGGCGTCTCCCTACAACAAGTGTCAGCTGAGAACTTTGAGCAAGTGCTGAATAAGTGACTCTTACTAGATTTTAATACTGCAAAATTACTCACATAAAACAACACAAAGTAGACACGGCATGGAGGGCATGTCCTATGTGAATGGAATATCAGCCAATTCATGAACTGAGCCCCCTCAGAGGATTTGGAATGTCAGGGCCATGGCTGTGGTTTCCCCCCTCTTCTGGTAGAAAGACCGCAGCCACACTGCAGTCCCTACCGTCACGGAAACGCTGGAGGGTGTCAGTTATACCTTTGTCCTCAGAGGACCTGCTGTTCCTAGCACTGCTTCCCTCTCTTTCTCTGCTGCTGACACCACTTCCTCCCTGCACACCCCAGCTTGGAGCACCCCAGTCTCACCCCAGTCTTCACAGAGCTTGACTCAGGAAAGGGAAAGAAAGGCCGGGGAGGGCGAGGTCAGAAATGTGGGCCGAGTATCCAAGGGTCCCCTCTTCCTAGTTTATGAGAGACTCCCCGACAGGACTTCCCTCCTGTTTCAGAAAAATCCTCTTATGTGGGGAGATGACACCCTAAGGTTTGGGGAAGGACTCACCCATGAGTGGCCAGGCCCCCTGCAGCAAGAAGAACCCTGGAAAGAAAGATCATGATAGACGATCCAACTGCAGGCAAACCAGGGCACCCTGCTGCCCCCACTGCACTGTGTGTCTTGGCAGCCAGGCCCTTGCTGGGCTGAAGGTAAACTTAGCCTCCCTGCTACCTGCTGCCAAGAACAGGGCTCTCAGCTGTGGAGAGACCCAGGCTCCAGGCCCAGATCAACACTTCCTGGCCCAGATCTCCACTCCAGGCCCATATCTCCACTCCAGGCCCCTATCTCCACTCCAGGCCCATATCTCCACATCAGACCCATATCTCCACTCCAGGCCCATATCTCCACATCAGACCCATATCTCCACTCCAGGCCCAGATCTCCCCTCTAGGCCCATATCTCCACTCCAGGCCCATATCTCCACTCCAGGCCCATATCTCCACATCAGACCCATATCTCCACTCCAGGCCCATATCTCCACTCCAGGCCCAGATCTCCACCTGCAGGCCCATATCTCCACTCCAGGCCCATATCTCCACTCCAGGCCCGTATCTCCACTCCAGGCCCATATCTCCACACCCAGGCCCATATCTCCCCTCCAGGCCCATATCTCCACTCCAGGCCCATATTTACACCTCCAGGCCCATATCTCCACACCCAGGCCCATATCTCCACTCCAGGCCCATATCTCCACTCCAGGCCCATATCTTTACCTCTAGGCCGAGATCTCCATCCCCACTCTCCCTCCCTCTATTCCCTTCCAGGACTCACCAACGCACGCCATGCTGACGACAGTGAGCGACATGGTGCTGCCGGTGCAGACAGGAGGCCGCGCCCCAGCTCAGCTCAGCAGCGCACAGGATGTTATTTGGCGCCCTGCCCATGCAGTTTACATGTTGACCACATCATGGGAGGGTGACGTACGCAGGCTCTTTCTACCTTGCATGAGGCCCAGTGGGTGCTCGCTCAAGAGCGGAACATGGCTTCCTGGAAATTGTTGTGACTACAATTGCCACCTTGCATCCTTCACTATGACCAGACTCAAAAGACGTCTCAGATCCAACCTCTCACACATGAGGTGATTGAATTCTGTGCTTACATTAAAGACTTTTGATGTATTTTTGTTTTTATCTGAGATTCAAACTTTTCTTCATGTGTAATGTGCAAAATATCTAAGAGGTATTATTAACATTATCAGAGTAATTGTGACAAAAAGCCATTCTAATTTTCCTGATGAGTTTCTAGTACTAAACCTGAGGCACGAGAATTGCTTGAACCTGGGAGGCGGAGGCTGCAGTGAGCTGAGCTCAAGCCACTGAACTCCAGCTTGGGTGACAGAGGAAGAGTCTGTCTCAAGAAAGAAAAAAAAAAGCAAACTAAATAACCTATAATAACAAATCAGAGAACTCAGGTTACCAAATTTTAAGGGGTTCTATAAGTTTATATGAAATGCAGCATCCTCATGAGAGGGGATACAGAGAACCACTGGGCAGAAAACTGTGTCTAAAATACATCTGTGGATACACAGTCCCTTCATAGTTGACAAAGGCTGCCATGTAGTTTAAGGTGGAATAGAATATTTTCTCAATAAATAACACAGGACCATAGGGTTACACGTAGGAAAAAATAAATCTAAACTTATCCTCACACTATAAAAACACTTCTTATTTTTTATCTTGTTGTTGTAAACTTTTTATGCTTTATTTTTAAGATTGACAAATAAAAATTATATACTGTGGTCCTTCACTATTCCTGGGTGATTGGTTCCAGGATCCCCATTCAGATACCAAAATCTGCAGATGCTCAAGCCCCTTGCATGAAATGGCATAGCGAAGCTGGGCACCGTGGCTCACGCCTGTAATCCCAGCACTTTGGGAGGCTGAGTTGGGTAGATCACGAGGTCAGGAGTTCAAGACCAGCTGGTCCAACATTCTGAAACCCCATCTCTACTAAAAATACACACACAAAAAAATTTATCTGTGCATGGTGGCACGTGCCTGTAATCCTAGGGGAGGCTACTGGGGAGGCTGAGGGAAGACAATCGCTTGAACCTGGGAGGCGGAGGTTGCAGTGAGCTGAGATCATGCCACTGCACTCCAGCCTGGGTGAGAGAGTGAGACTGTCTCAAAAAAAAAAAATAGCATAGTAATTGCATAGAACCCATGCACATCCTCCTGTATACATGAAATCATCTCTTGATTACTTATAATTCCTGACACAGCCTACACGCCACTCAATTTGTGTCGATTCAACATAGTTTTTTGCTTCTTGAAACTTCGGGGATTTTTTTCTGAAAACATTTTTGATTTATTGTTGGTTCAATAAACACCTGTAAACCCCACAGATATGGAGGACCGACTGTATATTTATATTATGAAAGATGATATGTTGATATGTGTCCCCGTGGAGATGAGGCTAACAAGGCCTATGACTCTACAAATGTTTCATCGTGGAATGACTCTGCCAGCTTTCCAGGTCTGCAGAGAGTAAGAATATCACTTGTTCATGTGATTCACGATCCTTGGAGCCTCCTATGTGCTGTATCTTTGGATGGAAATTGGAGTCTCAGAGACAAATCAGGCTCCATTCTGCTTCCAGAAGCTCAGAGTCCAGGGCTGAGAACCCAATGGAGAACAGATGGGGTTATGTGGACATGGTAATGATAACACCGGAAGCCTTAGGCAAGAAAAGAGTCTCGTTACCGAAACCATGAGGGCAGACATGTTTATTTGAAGGCGGGAAAACTACATTGAAATTATTTAAAAAATTTATAAGTTTTACTGCTGGCAGAAGGCTGAAAGATAGTCTGAAGGGAGGTGGAACAGCACGTGTCTAAGTGCTGTGTTAAGAGGCAGCCTCTTGTATGTTTGGAATTGTGAGTTCCTCAGTGTGATTGCAGCCTCAGGTAGACTAGGAAGTAAGCCAGTTAGGTTGGAGAGGTGGGCAGGGGTCAAGTGAAATGGAGAATTGTGGGCTAAGCAAAGGAGTGTGTTTTCTCTCCAGCAGGCAGTGGGGACCTTAGACATTTGTAAGCAAGAGAGAGGCATGTTCAGATTCGTGGTGTGAGGAAGAGCGATGCCCTAAGATGAAGACTGATGCCTTCAGATTCCAGCTGCTGGTACATGGGAGCTGGCAACCCGGTTTTGAGACAGGGCTGTTGTCTCCCTAGAAGATCCCCTCAAGGCCTGACTGTGGTGCTCGTGGACAGAAGACAACTTTGGATCTGGGCTCAGCATTTGGAAGTTCTATGTACATGCTGGTATCTGTTGGGGGTGTCTTGGGCCTCTCAGAAGGGCGAGTGATTTTTCTCTGTGTGAAAACACAGTGATCCAATTATGCGTATGACACCTCCTGATGGTCTTGTTCATCAGAATCCTGGAGAGAGGGAAATGCTGAGTGAGGGAGGGTGCTCACATTTTTCAGGACTCTTTGGGAATAAGACTAGCCACGAGGCTGGGCCGAGGAGCACCTACCTCGCTGTTCACTGTTCTGTTCCCTGCAGGCTCTTGGTCCATTACAGCAGCATCTGTAGAAGACGGAAGTCAACAAAAGAGCTCGGAGGGCACTTCTGGGTCCTCATTTCATAAGCAGATACCAACAAACAGGGGGAGGCCATAGGTGCCTGAGGTCCCTCAGTTGCCAACAGCAGACTCAGACATTCTATCTCTCTGAGTTCAAGGACCCATCCCATGAATAGCTCTGAGGTCCCATCCCATTGATTCTATCTCCCACTTTCTGCCTGTCATGGAACCTTCTCCTGGATGTGAGTGGCTGCAGGGGACGTGAGGATACAGTTCAGAATCAGGCAATGGTCTGTGAGCTGAAGGCAGGGGAAGGGAATCTGGTGCTCTCTCTAGAAAGTCCTGCCTCTGTGGCTCCTGTCTTGGGCCAGGGACCATCCTGCTGGTGAGGAACACACATCCGCGTGCTCCCATCCTGCTTCCCCACATGGCCCTGAGCTCTCTGGCCTCTGCTTCGTGAGACTTACTTTTTTTGTCGGAGCACCAGCGATGAAGGAGAAAGAAGAGGAGGATGGTGAAAGGGATTTTGACCACTGAGGTCCCAATCAGAACATGTAGGTGTCTGGGGTTACCTGGAAGAAGAGGAGACACCAATAAGAAGCTAATCATAGCAGTTCCTCTTTATGAATTGTCTCGCATTTCTTGATTGGCAGGTAACCACATACAACGTCTCTTTAGGACAAGCACCCAAATGGCGGGAGACCTAGCTTTCCCCTGCTTTCTCAATTATAGCTCTCATAGTAACCATAGAACGTGCTGAGGATACAACTACTTTAGTTGAGATGTTTGACCCTTTCAAACCTCACATTGAAATTTCACCCCCATTGTGGGAGGTTGGGCCTCTTCAGAGGTGTTTGGGTCATGGAGGTGGATCCATCATGAACAGACCAATGCTGTCCCAAGGAGACGGGGTTAGCAAGTTCCCCCTCTGTTAGTTCCTGGAGAGCTGGTTGTTAAAAAGAGCTTGGAAGCTCCATCGCTCCCTCTCCCCCTTACTCTCTCTCTTGCCGTGTGATCTCTGCGGTCTCTGCACAGACAGACCCTCCTTCCCTTCTGCCAGAGTGGGAGCAGCCTGAGGCCATCACGAGAAATAGATTCTGGTGCCATGCTTCCAGTACAGCCTGCAGAACTGTGAGGCAAACCAATCTCTTTTCTTTAGAAGTTACCCAGGCTCAAGTGTTCCTTTAGAGCAACAAAAATGGACTAAGATAGCAACATCCTGAGATCAGGAGGAATGTCTCAGAACAGCCTGGGCTGTCTTCCTGTTCTTCCTGGAGGAGGACGTCATGCAGTGCTTTAGCTGAGTGCTTCCTGTGGCTCCAGGGTACAAAACCCAGGCTGGGCTGCTTTCTGGCTTCCCCCAGTTACACTGCAAATGGGGTGACTCCATATGTCCCGAGCAGCTTTTCTGAGCCTTGAGGGACTGGCTCACATTGAAATGCAGGCTTCTGTTGTCACTCACTGCTTATCTGTTAGTAATGAACCTGCCTATGTAACGTATTCTCTGTGTGTTCTGTCTCCCTGGAGTGACGGTGAGTGATAGGAATTGGCATAGGCCCAGGTGCAGTCCAGGATTTGTTTAGAGTCTTCTCTGGGAAGACTGCACTGGGATTGATACACAGCGAATGTGCTTTAGGATTTCTACATCCACAGCATTCTTGAGTCAAACAAATTGCATTCACCAAGGAAAGGAAACAAAGGTGAAATCACGATTAAAAATAGCGAAGCAAGATTCTCTTATGTCAAACAGCCAGAAAATAGTGTTGAAGCCCGTGTGAAATGTGCTGCTCTTTGTGATCTCGGGAGACACATGTTAGGCTGCTGTTCTACCCGAGAGGCTGGGGGAAGGACCACCCCCTCCACCATCTATTGCTTCAATACCACCTGTCCTCCTGTGAATTAGTAGGAAAGGGGAACAGGAGCTAGTGCTGTCGCTGATCTCTGATTCCAAGATCTGGACTCACTCCAAGGAGTATTAATGTTTCCTCCCCATGGTCTATCTGAATCTCCACAGGTGATTGGAAGTAGGGGTGAGGTGGGGGATTTGGGTGAGTGGGCAAGTTTTTTTTTGCGATGAACAGAGCACTTTCTCTATTCCAGGATCCGTGCTGGAGGATTCAGCGGGCTTTCACATTTTCTATGTGATCTCATGCTCACAGAAAGCCAAATAGGGAAGAGGTTTTAGGCTCATTGCCTAATGGATAAGATAAAGGATCAAAGAAGTAATTATAGAGAAATAGAAAAATGATGATTGGAATTCAGGTGCCTTTGTCATTCGTGTGTGTTTTATTATATTTATGCATTTCTTATTTTTATTTTTTGAGACGGAGTCTCCTTGTGTCACCCAGGCTGGAGTGCAGTGATGCAATCTCCACTCACTGCAACCTCCACCTCCTGGGTTGAAGTCATTCTCCTGCTTCATCCTCCAGAGTAGGAGCTGGGATTACAGGGATGCACCACCATGCTCGGCTAATTTTTGTATTTTTAGTACAGATAGGGTTTCACCATGTTGGCCAGGCTGGTCTGGAACTCCTGACTTCATGGAATCCACCCGCCTTGGCCTCCTGCAGTGCTGGGTTACAAGCGTGAGCCACCGTTCACAGACTTGTATATTACGCTATAATAGGTCTCTTCATTTCCACCACCCCTCATATATCTGTCACTCCTTTGCCAGGTATTGATTTATGTGTAGGATGAATAAATCTCAGAAAGAAATTAATTAAGCGAGGATTAAACAAGTAGGAAAATCAAACCCAGCAAGCCTTTCCAGCCAATGATTCTACCTCACAAGCATAGCTTATATCCATCTGCTTCATCCACTTAGTGTCAAAATCAGCACCACATTTCACCAGTGGGTCGGGAATTGCCTTTTCCACGGTCTCCTAGATTCCAGTTACGCCCCTGGGCCTCCTTTATTTTCATGTCAGTCATATTAATCATGTAGGGATTCCTGGTTACCCCGAGGTGAATCCAATGGCTGTGAGTGTCAAACACACACTCCTTGTTGCTCCTTAGTTTCCTGTGTACCCAGTGTGCTCTCCGTCTCTCCACAGTCGTCTTGTCATTCTCCCCACCTCATTCCCAGCATTTGAGGAAGAGCCTCTTCCTTCCACATCAGATTGTTTTCACCTTTGTGCCTTCACGGCTGACAGCTGTGTGTGCAAAATCCTTCCGCCAATCTTTCAGGGGTTCAATCCGTGTTTTTCATTAATGTCACAAATATCTGAATAGTGAGACCTTCTTTGTCACCTGAAATCATACACTCAGCATTATCTATTATTGATTTTGAATTCTGGCTGGGCACAGTGGCTCACGCCTGTAGTCCCATTACTTTGGCATGCTGAGACGGTCGGATCACTTGAGGTTGGGAGTTTCAGACAAGCTTGGCCAACGTGGTGAAACATCCTCTCTACAAAAAATATACAAAAAGAATTAGCCGGGCACGGTGGCAGTTGCCTGTAATCCCAGCTACTCGAGAGGCGGAGGCAGGAGAATCACTTGAATCCAGGAGAAGCAGGTTGCAGTGAGCCAAGATCGTGACACTGCACTGTAGCCTGGAAGACAGAGGGCAACTCTGTCTCAATAAACAAAAGAACAAACAAAAAATAGATTTCATGCACAGATGCTTCCCAATGGATCATTCATTTATAGATCCACTTGTGCATTCATTTTCTGCCCTCCCATTTAACCATCTGCAATATCAGTGTCCCAAGGGCAGAGGCCAAATGCATCTTGTTCACTGTTTGTGGAAGGCAGGAGAATGCTGTCCCACCCCAAAATGTCCCTGTCCTAGCCTCCATAGCTTGTGAATATGTTATTTTACATGGAAAGGAGGAATGAAGATTGCAGATGGAATTATGGTTACTAATCAGCTGAACTTAAAACAAGGGTATCCTGGATGATTTCCAGGAGATTATGAGGGATTTTCATCTTGGTGAACCCAATAGAATCCCCAAGTTTTCAAAAGATGAGGAAGAAGGGAGAGCAGCATTCAGAGAAAGAAGTGTGGTAAGGAAGAAGGCACTGAGTGATGCCATGTGAGATGTGACCAGTCTTTGTGGGCTTTGAGGAAGGAGGAAGGGGACCAGGAGCCAAGGAACTGGGAGCCTTTAGAAGCTGGGACAAGTGAGAAGCAGATTCGTGCCTGGAATCCTCAGAGGGAAGGCAGCCTTGCTGTCACCTTGATTTTAGCCCAGTAAGATGCACTTCCTACTTTGAGCTACAGCACTGTAAGATAATTAAAAAACCGTTTTGTTTTCACCCACGAATCTTGTGGAAATTTGTTATGGCAACAATAGGAAAAGGTTCCGCACTGCACAGCCTGAGCATGGGGCCGTGGCTGAATGAGTCAGTGAGTCGAAGTGTGTGTGCATGAGCTCTGTTCTCTGTTACGGCAAGGCTCTTGCTCTGCTGAGTCAGCCAGGGTTGCTTCATGACCTACAGGAGCTCATTCCTTGGCAAGTGGAACTTCTCTAAAACACCTCGCCCTCATCAGATGTTCCCTTCCCTTCCCTCTCTCAAGTCTCCAGGAATTTATCCTCCAGTTAGGAATGCAGGCAGAACAAACATTGCATTTTTCCTGAGAAGGATGTCAGATTGGCAATCATTCTTCTAGCTTGTAGGAGGTCTCAGCTCCATAAAATGAGAGATGAAGAGATTTCACTGAGCCCTGTGTTGGGCCCAGATCCCTTTCGCTGTAGGAGTATCTGGAGTTCGGAGATGGTGGAAGACAGGTGTACAATGTCAGAGCTGTGAGATGCTGAGTCAACGCCTGAATCCAAGGTTTCCACCTCCCCAGGTTTCCAAAAGCGGATATAAGAGGGTTCTGTACTCACCGGTTTCGGAGCTTGGTTCAGTGGGTGAAGGCCAACTATTTGAAGGGTTTCCTAGAACATGAGACAGGAGAGAGGTGAGGAAATGAGGGTTTCTGTCCTCCACTCAGTGGAAATCTTTGAGGATGGTTCATGGCCAACACTCTGTTATCTAATATTGGGCCCTGGGAGTCCTGGGATCCTTTTTTCCATAATTTTTTTATGTGACACCCACTGTCTTGAGACTTCAAGGTATAAAGAGAAAACAGGAGCATCACACTACCTGATCTCAAAATATGTTACAGAGCTGTAGTAAGCAAAATAGCATGACACTGGCATAAAGAAAGGCACATAGAACAACGGAGCAGAATGAATAACACAGATATATTCCATGCATTTACATCCAATGGTTTTTTATTTTTTCTTTTGAGATGGAGTCTTGCTCTGTCACTCAGGCTGGAGTGCAAAGGTGCAATCTCGGTTCACTGCAACCTCAGCCTCCTGGGTTCAATCATTCTCTTGCCTCAAACTCCTGAGTAGTGGTATTACAGGTGCTGACCACCATGCTCAGCTAATTTTTATATTTTTAGTGGAGATGATGTTTCATCACGTCGGCCAGACTAATCTTGAACTCCTGGCCTCAGGTGATCCACCCACCTCGGGCTCCCAAAGTGCTGAAATTGCAGGTGTTAGCCACCAAGCCCAGCCCATCCAATGGACTTTGACAAAGATGCCAAGAACTCACAATCAGGAAAGGACAGTCTTTTCAATAAACAGTGCAGGGAAACCTGGACATCTACATGCAGAGGAATGAAACTGCACCTCTACCTGTCACCATACACAAAAATCAAATGAAAATGGATTAAAGATGTGAGTCTAAGGCCTGAACCTATGAAACACGTAGAACAAAATATTGGGGAAATGCTCCAGGACATTTGTCTGAAGAAAGACATTTTGTTTTAAACCTTGAAAACACAAGTAATCGAAGCAAAAATAGACCATTGGGATTACCTCATACTAAGCAACTTCTGCACCGCTAAAAATAAACCAACAAAGTGAAGAGACAACCCACAGATTGGGAGCAAATATGTGCAAACTATGCATCTGAGATGGGATTAATAACTAGAAATATAAGAAGCTCAAACAACTCAATAAAACAAATGATTTAATTGAAAAAGGAGCAAAAGACATGAAATTTCCCCACATACGAAAAACTGCTCAGTATCACTCATCATCAGAGAAACGCAAATTAAATTCAAAGTGAGTTTTCATCTCACCCCATTAAAATGGCTTTTAGGCCGGGTGAGGTGGCTCACGTTTGTCATCCTAGAACTTTGAGAGCCTGAGGTGGGTGAATCTCATAAGGTCGGGAGTTTGAGACCAGTATGACCCACATAGAGAAACACTGTCTCTACTAAAAATACAAAAATTAGTCGGGCGTGGTGGCGTGTGCCTGTAATTCCAGCTACTCGGGAGGCTGAGGCAGGAGAATCGCTTGAACCTGGGAGGTGGAGGTTGTGGTGAGCCGAGATCGCGCCACTGCACTCCAGCCTGGGTGAGAAGAGCAAAACTCCATCTCAAAATAAAATGAAATAAAATAAAATGGCTTTTAGCTGCAAGACAGGCAAAAGAAATGCTGGCAAGGTGGTAGAGAAAGGAGAACCCTGGTACCCTGTTGGGAGGAGTGTAAATTAGTACAGCCATTACGGAGAAAAGTATGGAAGTCCTTTAAAGAACTAAAAAGAGGTTGGGTGCGGTGGATCATGCCTGTAATCCCGGCACTTTGGGAGACTGAGGCGGGCACCTCAGTTGAGGTCATGAGTTTGAGAGCAGCCCAGCCAACATGGGGAAACCCCATCTATACTAAAAAAACCAAAAAGTAGCCAGGCATGGTGGTGTGCACCTGTAATCCCAGCTACTAGGGAGGCTGAGGCAGGAAAATCATTTGAACCCAGGAGGCGTAGGTTGCAATGAGCCAAGGTCGCACCACTTTGACTCCAGCTTGGGCTAAGGAGGGAAACTCTTTCTCAAAAAAGAAAAAAAGAAAAAAAGAGAACTTTCATAGTATCCAGCAATTTCACTACTGGGTTTATATCCAAAGGAAAGTAAATCAATATATCGAAGTGATATCTGCACTCGTATGATTGGTGCAGCACTGTTCACAGTAGCCAAGATGAGGAGTCAACCTACCTGCCCATCAGTGGGTAAATGGATAGAGAGAATGTAGTACATACGCATAGTGGAGACTACTCATCCATAGAAAGAATAACATCCTGTCATTTGCAGCCACATGGATGGAACTGGAGGTCATTACAAAGATTCCCATTTCTCACCCATATACAGGAGCTAAAAGGTGGATCTCATGAAGGTAGAGAGTAGAATGGTGGCTACTGGAGGACAGGAAGAAAAGGGTGGAGGGTAAAAAAAATGTATATATATATATATGTATATAAATGTATTTATGACCACTAGACTTTACACTTAAAAATGGTAAATGTGGCTGGGCGCGGTGGCCCATGCCTGTAATCCCAGCACTTTGGGAGGCAGATGCGGGTGGATCACTTGGTCAGGAGTTCGAGACCAGCTCGACCAACATGGTGAAACCACCTCCCTACTAAAAATACAAAAAGTAGCCTGGCGTGGTGGTGCGTGCCTGTAGCACCAGCTACTCAGGTGGCTGAGGCAGGAGAATCGCTTGAACCCAGGAGGTGGAGGTTGCAGTGAGCTGAGATTGTGCCACTGCACTCCAGCATAGGGGACACAGCTAGACTCCACCTCAAAAAAAAATGTTAAAAGTGGTAAGCTATATAGGTATATTTATCCTCAATAAATATTTCTTCAAAGAAAAGTAAAGGGTGTAGGGGTTGCTGGTGATGACATCTCTGTGTGGGTGAGAGTCCAGGATGGGCTTCTGGGAAATGGGTAAGGTTGAGGGGCTGAGGGAACCTCTGATCTCCCCAAACTGAGCCCAGTCTCCCTCCTCTGGGTCTCTCCTGACCGCTTTCTCCATCTGCCTGGGTGCCTGGAGCCCTGGCCGTGGGCCTCCATGCAGGCCATGTAGGAGGGTTTGGAGGTGCCCTGTCGGCCATCCTGTGCCCTGATCCCTCCCTCACACCGAGGCTGCGTCTTCTCTCTGCATCTGTCCATGCTTCTCTCCATCATCAGCAGGAAGCTCCTCAGCTAAGGCTCTAGGATCATAGGACATGGGACAGCCATGGGCTTTCCTCACCTGTGACAGAAACAAGCAGTGGGTCACTTGACTTTGACCACTCGTATGGAGAGTCACGGAAAGAGCCGAAGCATCTGTAGGTCCCTCCATGGGTGGCAGGGCCCAGAGGAAAGTTGGCCTGGAATGTTCCGTTGACCTTGGTCCCTGCAGGGAGCCTACGTTCATGGGCCTCCCCTTCCCTGGATAGATGGTACATGTCATAGGAGCTCCGGGAGCTGCAGGACAAGGTCACATTCTCTCCTGCCAGAACCGTGGGGCCCGGCTGGGCTGAGAGAGAAGGTTTCTCATATAGACCTGGAAGGAGAAGAGGCAGTTTCCTCAGGGAGGATCTTCCTTGTCACAGCTCCCTTCACCTGAGCTGAGAACTCACTCCCCTGCTCTATGACCTAATGCTCTCTCTCTCTCTCTCTCACCCTCTACCCCATCGCTCTTCATGTCTATTTCCTCCTTCCACCTTCTCTGTCTCTTTAGGTCTCTGACCTCACTTCCCCACCTCTAGATATGTTTTCTCTTTTTGGATTGTTTTATTCTCTCTGACTCTCCTTGGATTGGTTGACTTGATGTTACTTTTTTTAATTCTGAGTTTCTCACTTTGTGTCCTGTTCATAACTTTCTGCATATTTCTATCTATTATCTATCGATCTATCTATTTATCTATTCGGTGCCTATCTACAAATTCTCTACCTGTCATCTATATCTATATATCATCTATTTATCCATCAATTGTCTATCTATCCATCAATCATCTATTATCTATATCTATGTATCATCTCTCTCTCTCTATGATTTCTCTATGTCTGCCTCTGTATCTCTATGTATTATCTATCTATCTGTCTTCATCATCATCATCTCTATGTCTCATCTATTAATGAATCAATCAATCATCATCTATGTATCTATAACCTATTATCTATCATCTACCTATTTATCATCTATCTATATCTATCCATCTATCATCTGTCTTGCTCTGCCTCTCGGTCTCTCTAGTTCTCTTTGGAATCTCTGCAATTCATCCCCACATCTCCATCTTTCAATGTCCTTGTGCCTCTCCCTCAGGAGTCTAATTTTAGTGCTTTTCTCTGCTCCCTTCCATCATTCTCACTTCTCTGCCCTCTTTTCTCTTTATGTGTCTGTGAGTCTCTCAATCTCCTTCCTCTGGCTCATTCTCTGTGTGTTTATGTCTTTGCTTTTTGGTGTCCCTGATTTCTCTCTGTGCCTCTCACTGATCCTCTCATAAGTGGGCTTATTTGGAATATGAGCCTCAGAATCCAGTCTGGAGACTACAAGTTCACACAGCATACAGGGGTTGGTGTTGTGGGGCC
This sequence comes from Homo sapiens, assembly GCF_000001405.40. Classification (NCBI taxonomy): domain Eukaryota; kingdom Metazoa; phylum Chordata; class Mammalia; order Primates; family Hominidae; genus Homo; species Homo sapiens. Next base: position 42,812 of record NT_187641.1, read on the forward strand.
ATGATATCCTGGGACGATTACTCTCCATTACATGGAAGGCAGAGGTGTCAGAATAAACATGGCATCTGTAGGTGCCACAAGGCCTGAGGCCACAGGGCCCAACTCAGGTCAGAAATATGGGTGTCCTTGGGTTCTCCTGGTAGAGAACACTTTGTGGAGGTAAAACAGAAATGAAACTTCTAACCTGTGCCAGGTCTCTGAGCAAAGTCAGCATGGAGGGACACCTCTCTCTGGGACATGTCTGTCTGTGTGTTTCCTTTAACTCTTTCTGTCTTTTCAAACTCCCGGTATGGCCCCTGTGTCTGTTCTCTGTTATGACACCTGGTCTCTACTTGTGTCTCCTGTTTCTCTGTCTCTGTTGGCACAGACCTCACCAAGTCAGTCTCTCTCCATAAGAATACCAAGCTCATCTTCCTTACAGCCACCTGGGCCTCCAAGTCCTGGATCATTCACTCTGCATCCCAATGACAATGAGAAGAAAGTCTGGACACTCTCACCTATGATCACGATGTCCAGAGGGTCACTGGGAGCTGACAACTGATAGGGGGAGTGAGTAACAGAACCGTAGCATCTGTAGGTCCCTGCCAGGTCTTGCTTCATGCGACTGATGGAGAAGTTGGCCTTGGAGACCCCATCATGGTGTTCTCCAATGAGGCGCAAAGTGTCGTTAAACATCCCCTCTCTGTGCAGAAGGAAGTGTTCAAACATGACATCTGACCAACATTGCAGGATGACTGTCTCTTCTGATTTCACCAGGCGACCTGGGTGGGCCAGGAGGGAAGGTTTTCTGTGGACTCCTAGGAAGAGAGGTTGTGAGTTTAGAAGGTGTCTCTCTTTATCATCCCATCCATGGCACCTGGATTGAGTCAGGCTTCCCCTTCCTGGTGTCTTATCTCTCTCCTTCCTCTCTGTGTCTTCATGTTCTTTTCTGTGCCCATAACTCCTGGTGCAGGTCCTTCCATCTGTCTCCCTCACTCTTCTCTGTCCCTCTGTCTCTAGTAGCCTCTGATTCCCTTGCCGCTGGGCTCAGCCTCATCTCTTGGGCTGTTGTATCTATTTCGAACTAATGTCTTTCCTGCTGTCTGTGTGGGGGTGGAAGAGGAACCAGGATAGGCTGCACATCCAGGCTCTTAGCAGCCTGGTTCAATCTCTTTTGGACGAATTGGAATCCTTGGCAGGAGGTATGAACTGATCAGTAAGGCAGGCACCAGTGGCCACACACCCTGTTCCTGGTAGGGACTGGGAGACACTCTTGCCATGCCAGTGCCAGCTTCCATAGCCTGGCTCCTGGTGCTGGTTGGAGGAGTATCAACCGCTCCCTATGTGGATGGAGCCTGGTGGTGGCATCATCATCCGAGCCTTGCTGATCTCAGTGTAGCCAACCTTCTCCTTGTTTGGTTTCTTTAATTAATTAATTAATTTTGGCGACAGAGTCTCACTCCTTTGCCCAGGCTGGAGTGAAGTGGTGTGGTCTAGGCTTACTGCAACCTCTGTCTCCTGGGTTCAAGTGATTCTCCTGCCCTCAGCCTCCCAAGTCGCTAGGATTACATGCACCTGCCACCATGCCTGGCTATCCTTGTGTTGTTTCTTAACTTGTCCTTGACCTGGGTTCCAGTGTTGGTTTCCTGTTGCTGCTGTAGAAAATTATCAGAAGCATGGCAGCAGGAGAGAGCACACTAACCCCTTCCAATTCTGGAGACAGAAATCGGACCCTGTTTGTCGTGGGTAAAATCAAGGTACCTGCAGGGCTTCGTTCCCTCTGGAGACTCAGGAGAATCAGTTCCTTGACTTTTCCAGCCTCTATAGGCCACCTGCATTCATGGCTCCTGGACTTCCTCCACCTTCAAAGCTGATGGAGACTCCCATTATGCTGCTGTAATCCCCACTCCCCTCTTCCTCCTCCTTTCCTGTGGACCCCTGTGACTACACTGAGCCCATCAGGACAGTCCAGGTTGTCTCCCCATCTCAAGGTCAACTCATCAACAACCTGAGCTCCATCTTCTCCTTCAGTCCCTTCCCCTATATCATAAATAGTCACAGACTCCAGGGATTAGAATGTAGTCATCACTGGGGACAATTATTCTTCCCACCACAGCACCCATTTCCCTGTATTCAATCCCCCTTTACCCCAAATACAGTCAGGACTTGCATGATGGGACCCGCAAGGACACGCCCACCAGGAGCTCTGGGATTCAGGAGGTGGGACAAGGAGAATCCCAGACAGGAGCCCTCTGACCTGTGACCGTGATCTCCAGGGGGTTGCTGGGTGCCGACCACCCACTGGGGTAGTGTGGTTGTGAACCCCGACATGTATAGGTCCCTGCGTGTGCTGGGGTCACAGGGCCCATGAAAAGGCTGTTCCAGAATATTATGTTGTAGAGCTCAGGGACAGGCACCCCATCTTCCTTTTACAGACTGAAGTTGTTAAACCCAAGATAAGAATGACACTGAAGAATCACATATCCTGGAGGCACCACAGGGCTTGGCCAGGCAGACAGCAAGGGCTTGTCCTGACCACCGTGGGGAGAAGGAGGCACCGCCTTAGAGAGGAGGATGTGGAGCCGCCCCTCCCTCCCTGTGCTCTGAAGATTCTCCTCGCTTTCCAAGTTTCTATGGCTGCTATCACACCTTGGTGCCCAGGGCTAAAGGAAGAACCCATCCCGCAAACACAAGGTGTCTCCCTACAACAAAAGTGTCAGCTGAGAACTTTGAGCAAGTGCTGAGTAAGAGACTCCTACTAGATTTTAATACTGTAAGATTACTCACATAAAACAACACAGGGTAGACATGGGGTGGAGGGCATGTCCTTTGAGAATGGAATATCAGCCGATGCCTGAACGAAAATAAACAACTGAGTCCCCATCAGAGGATTGGAATGTCAGGGCCATGGCTGTGGTTTTCCCACCTCTTCTGGTAGAATGACAGCAGCCACACTGCAGCCCCTACCGTCATGGAAACGCTGAAGTGTGTGAGTAACACCTTTGTCCTCAGAGGATCTGCTGTTCCTACCACTTCCCCACCACACACCCCAGCTTTGAGCACCATAGTCTAACCCTGGTCCCCACAGAACTTGACTCTGCCAAGGGAATGAAAGGCCAGGGAGGCAAGGTCAGAAATGTGGGCCCAGCACCCCAGGGTCCCTTCTTCCTAGTTTATGAGAGACTCCCTGACAGGACTTCCCTCCCATTTCAGGAAAATCCTCTTATGTGGGGAGATGACACCCGAAGGTTTGGAGAAGGACTCACCCTCATGTGGCCAGGCCCCCTGCAGCAAGAAGAACCCTGGAAAGAAAGATCATGATGGATGACCCATCTGCAGGCAAACCAGGGCACCCTTGCTGCCCCCACTGGGCTGTGAGTCTTGGTAGCCAGGCCCTTCCTGGGCTGAAGGTAAACTCACCCTCAGTGCCTACCTGCACCCAAGAACAGGGCTGTCGGCTGTGCAGAGACCCAGCCTCCAGGTCCATATCCCCACCTCAAGCCCATATCTCCACTCCAGGCCCATATCTCCACTCCAGGCCGATATTTCCACCCTAAGCCCATATCGCCAATCCAGGCCCATATCTCCAATCCAGGCTCAGATCTCCACCCTGGGCCCATATCTCCAATCCAGGCCCTTATCTCCACTCCAGGTCCATATCTCCTCTCCAGTCCCATATCTCCACTCCAGGCCCATATATCCTCTCCAGTCCCATATCTCCACACCCAGGCCCGTATCTCCATCCTAGGCACATATCTCCTCTCCAGGCCCAGATATCGACCTCTAGGCCCATATCTCCACTCCTGGCCCATATCTCCACTCCAGGCCCAGATATCGACCTCTAGGCCCATATCTCCACTCCTGGCCCATATCTCCACTCCAGGCCCATGTCTCCACTTCAGGCCCATATCTCTACTGCAGGCCCGTAACTCCACCTCCAGGCCCATGACTCCACTCCAGGCCCATATCTCCACCTCCAGGCCCATATCTCCCCTCCAGGTTCCTATCTCCCCTCCAGGTTCCTATCTCCACTCCAGGCCCAGATCTCCACTACAGTCCCATCACTCCACCTCCAGGCCTATATCTCGACCTCTGGGCCCAGATCTCCACTTCTAGGCCCATCACTCCATCTCTAGGCCCATATATCCACTCCAGGCCCAGATCTCCACTCCAGGCCCACAACTCCACCTCCAGGCCTATATATCCACCTCTGGGCCCAGATCTCCAACCCCACACTCCCTTCCTCTATTCCCTTCCAGGACTCACCAACACACGCCATGCTGACGACCGTGAGCGACATGGTGCTGCCGGTGCAGACAGGCGGCCGCGCCCCAGCTCAGCTCAGCAGCGCACAGGATGTTATTTGGCGCCCTGCCCATGCAGTTTACATGTTGACCACATCATGGGAGGGTGACGTACGCAGGCTCTTTCTACCTTGCATGAGGCCCAGTGGTTGCTCGCTCAAGAGCGGAACACGGCTTCCTGGAAATTGTTCTCACTAGAATTTACACCTAGCGTCCTTCACTATGACCAACTCAAAACACGTCTCAGATCCAACCTCCTGAACACGAGATGCCTAAAATCTGTGCTAACGTGAAAGACTTTTCATGTATTTTTATTGTTTTTATCTGAGATTCAAACTCTTCTTCCTGTGTAATATGCAAAATATCTAATAGGTATTATTAAGGTTTTCAGAGTCATTGTGACTAATAAACCATTAGAATTTTTCATGCTTGTATTTCTAGTATTACAGCAGAACCAGTTAAAATGATTTAAATTCCCAGGGAAGGATTATGCAATTATTTACAATCTTTGAATTGTACGTTATCAGCAAAAACCACACATTTAAACTCTGGATTTTTGTAGATTTATCTAAAATTTGTCTCATGACCCAAGTTTCCAGAGTCCCAACTCTGGAGTTTGCTCTCTCTCTGTCTCTCTCCCTCCCTCATTTTAAATTTTACAGAAATATCCAGTAACATAATGCTATAGAAAATCAAGTTTCCCCCAGCACGTCGGGAAGCCGAGGTGGGCGGATCAACTGATATAAGGAGTTTGAGAGCAGCCTGGCAACACAGTGAAACCGTGTCTCTGCTAAAAATCCAAAAATTAGCCGTGCCCAGTGGCAGGAACTTGTAACACCAGCTACCCAAGAGGCTGAGGCACGAGAATCGCTTGAACCTGGGAGGCGGAGGTTGCAGTGAGCTGAGATTGCACCACTGCAGTCCAGCCTGGGCGACAGAGCAAGACTCCGCCTCAAGAAAATAAAAATAGCAAATAGCCTATAATAACAAATTAGAGGCCTCTGGCTACTAAATTTAAAGGGTTCTATGGGGCTACATAAAGTGGAGCATCCTCAAGAATGTGGACACAGAGAGCCGTTTAGCAGAGACAGTGTCTAAAATACACATCCGTGTACACACAGTCCCTTTTTAGTTGACAAAGGCTGCCGTGTGGTTTAAGGTGGCATAGAATGTCTTCTCAATAAATAATATTAAACCAAAGGGTTACACATAGGAAATAATAAATCTAAACTTATTCTCACACTATAAAAACACTTCTTAGTTTTTATCTAGTTATTGTACATTTTTTATGATTTATATTTAAATTTGAGAAATAAAAGTCCTATACCGTCATCCTTCACTATTCATGGGTGATTGGTTTCAGGATCTCCACTCAGATACTAAAATCTGCAGATGCTCAAGCCTCTTACATAAAATGACACAGCATTTGGATATAACCCATGCACATCCTCCTGTATACATGAAATCATCTCTTGATTACTTATAATTCCTGATACAGCCTATACACCACCTCATTTGTGTGCATTCAACACAGTTTTGCTTTTTGGAACTTTGTGGGCTTTTTCTCTGAATATTTTTGATTTATACTTGGTTCAATAAACACCTGTAAACCCCACAGATACGGAGGAGCGACTGTATATTTATAGTATGAAAGATGATGCGTTGACATGTGTCCCCGTGGAGATGAGACTAACAAGGCCTATGACTCTACAAATGTTTCATCATGGAATGACTCTGCCAGCTTTCCAGGTCTGCAGAGAGTAAGAATATCACTTGTTCATGTGATTCACGATCCTTGGAACTTCCTATGTGCTGCATCTTTGGATGGAAATTGGAGTCTCAGAGACAAGTCAGGGTCCACCCTGTTCCAGAAGCTCAGAGTCCAGGGGTGAGAACCCAGTGGAGAACAGATGGGGTTATGTGGACATGGTAATGATAACACCAGAAGCCTTAGGCAAGAAAAGAGTCCCATTACCGAAACCATGAGGGCAGACATGTTTATTTGAAGGAGGGAAAACTACATTGAAATTACTAAAAACAATTTATAAGTTTTACTGCTGACAGAAGGCTGAAAGATAGTCTGAGGGGAGGTGGAACTGCATGAGAGAAGGTGGAACAGCACGTGTCTAAGTGCTGTGTTAAGAGGGAGCCTCTTGTATGTTTGGAATTGTGAGTTCCTCAGTGTGATTGCAGCCTCAAGTAGACTAGGAAGTAAGCCAGTTAGGTTGGAGAGGTGGGCAGGGGTCAAGTGAAATGGAGAATTGTGGGCTAAGCAAAGGAGTGTGTTTTCTCTCCAGCAGGCAGTGGGGACCTTAGACATTTGTAAGCAAGAGAGAGGCATGTTCAGATTCGTGGTTTGAGGAAGAGCGATCCCCTAAGATGAAGACTGATGCCTTCAGATTCCAGCTGCTGGTACATGGGAGCTGGCAACCCGGTTTTGAGACAGGGCTGTTGTCTCCCTAGAAGATCCCCTCAAGGCCTGACTGTGGTGCTCGTGGACAGAAGACAGCTTTGGATCTGGACTCAGCATTTGGAAGTTCTATGTACATGCTGGTATCTGTTGGGGGTGTCTTGGGCCTCTGAGAAGGGGGAGTGATTTTTCTCTGTGTGAAAACACAGTGATCCAATTATGCGTATGACACCTCCTGATGGTCCTGTTCATCAGAATCCTGGAGAGAGGGAAATGCTGAGTGAGGGAGGGTGCTCACATTTTTCAGGACTCTTTGGGAATAAGACTAGCCACGAGGCTGGGCCGAGGAGCACCTACCTCCCTGTTCACTGTTCTGTTCCCCGCAGGCCCTTGGTCCATTACAGATGCATCTGTAGAAGATGGAAGTCAACAAAACAGCTCGGAGGGCACTTCTGGGTCCTCATTTCATAAGCAGATACCAACAAACAGGGGGAGGCCATAGGTGCCTGAGGTCCCTCAGTTGCCAACAGCAGACTCAGACATTCTATCTCTCTGAGCTCAAGGACCCATCCCATGAATAGCTCTGAGTTCCCATCCCATTGATTCTATCTCCCACTTTCTGCCTGTCATGGAACCTTCTCCTGGATGTGAGTGGCTGCAGGGGACGTGAGGGTACAGTTCAGAATCAGGCAATGGTCTGTGAGCTGAAGGCAGGGGAAGGGAATCTGGTGCTCTCTCTAGAAAGTCCTGCCTCTGTGGCTCCTGCCTTGGGCCAGGGACCATCCTGCCTGTGAGGAACACACACCCGCGTGCTACCATCCTGCTTCCCCACATGGCCCTGAGCTCTCTGGCCTCTGCTTCGTGAGACTTACTTTTTTTGTTGGAGCACCAGCGATGAAGGAGAAAGAAGAGGAGGATGGTGAAAGGGAGTTTGACCACTGAGGTCCCAATCAGAACGTGTAGGTGTCTGGGGTTACCTGGAAGAAGAGGAGACACCAATAAGAAGCTAATCATAGCAGTTCCTCTTTATGAATTGTCTCGCATTTCTTGATTGACAGGTAACCACATACAACGTCTCTTTAGGACAAGCACCCAAATGGTGGGAGACCTAGCTTTCCCCTGCTTTCTCAATTATAGCTCTCATAGTAACCATAGAACGTGCTGAGGATACAACTACTTTAGTTGAGATGTCTGACCCCTTCAAACCTCACATGGAAATTTCACCCCCACTGTGGGAGGTTGGGCCTCTTGGGAGGTGTTTGGGTCATGGAGGTGGATCCATCATGAACAGAACAATGCTGTCCCAAGGAGACGGGGTTAGCAAGTTCCCCCTCTATTAGTTCCCGGAGAGCTGGTTGTTCAAAAGAGCTTGGAAGCTCCATCGCTCCCCCTCCCCCTTACTCTCTCTCTTGCCGTGTGATCTCTGCGGTCTCTGCACAGACAGACCCTCCTTCCCTTCTGCCAGAGTGGGAGCAGCCTGAGGCCGTCACAAGAAATAGATTCTGGTGCCATGCTTCCAGTACAGCCTGCAGAACGGTGAGGCAAACCGATCTCTTTTCTTTAGAAGTTACCGAGGCTCAAGTTTTCCTTTAGAGCAACAAAAAAAAACTACGACAGCAACGTCCTGAGATCAGGAGGAATGTCTCAGAACAGCCTGGGCTGTCTTCCTGTTCTTCCTGGAGGAAGGCGTCATGCAGTGCTTTAGCTGAGTGCTTCCTGTGGCTCCAGGGTACAAAACCCAGGCTGGGCTGCTTTCTGGCTTCCCCCAGCTACACTGCAAATGGGGTGACTCCATATGTCCCGAGCAGCTTTTCTGAGCCTTGAGGGACTGGCTCACATTGAAATGTAGGCTTCTGTTGTCACTCGCTGCTTATCTGTTAGTAATGAACCTGCCTGTGTAATGTATTCTCTGTGTGTTCTGTCTTCCTGGAGTGACGGTGAGTGATAGGAATTGGCATAGGCCCAGGTGCAGTCCAGGAGGTGTTTAGAGTCTTCTCTGGGAAGACTGCACTGGGATTGATACACAGCGAATGTGCTTTAGGATTTATACATCCACGGCATTCTTGAGTCAAACAACTTGCATTCTCCAAGAAAAGGAAACAAAAGTGAAATCAAGATAAAAAAAGCGAAGTAGAATTCTCTTATGTCAAATGGCCAGGAAATAGTGTTGAAGCCCATGTGAAACGTGCTACTCTTTGTGATCTCAGGAGACACATGTTAGGCTGCTGTTCTACCCCAGAGGCTGGGGGAAGGACCACACCCTCGGCCATCTATTGCTTCAATACCACCTGTCCTCCTGTGAATTAGTAGGAAAGGGGAGCAGGAGCTAGTGCTGACGCTGATCTCTGATTCCAAGATCTGGACTCACTCCAAGGAGTATTAGAATTTACCTCCCCATGGCCTATCTGAATCTCCACAGATGATTGGAAGTAGGGGTGAGGTGGGGGATTTGGGTGAGAGGGCATGTTTTTTTTGTGATGAACAGAGCACTTTGTGTATTCCAGGATCTGTGCTGGAGGATTCAGCGGGCTTTCACATTTTCTATATGATCTCATGCTCACAGAAAGCCAAATAGGGAAGAGGTTTTAGGCTCATTGCCTAATGGATAAGATAAAGGATCAAAGAAGTAATTATAGAGAAATAGAAAAATCATGATTGGAATTCAGGTCCCTTTGTCATTTGCGTGTGTTATATTATATTTATATTTATGCATTTCTTATTTTTATTTTTTGAGACGGAGTCTCCTTGTGTCACCCAGGCTGGAGTGCAGTGATGCAATCTCCACTCACTGCAAACTCCACCTCCTGGGTTGAAGTCATTCTCCTGCTTCATCCTCCAGAGTAGGAGCTGGCATTACAGGGATGCACCACCATGTTCGGCTAATTTTTGTGTTTTTCCTAGAGACAGGGTTTCACCATGTTGGCCAGGCTGGTCTCGAACTGCTGACTTCGTGTGATCCACCCGCCTTGGCCTCCTGCAGTGCTGGGTTACAGGCGTGAGCCACCGTTCACAGACTTGTATATTATGCTGTAATAGGTCCCTTCATTTCCACCACCCCTCATATATCTGTCACTCCTTTGCCAGGTATTGATTTATGTGTAGTAGGAATAAAGCTCAGAAAGAAATTAAGCGAGGATTAGACAACTAGGAAAATCATACCCAGCAAGCCTTTCCAGCCAATGATTCCACCTCACAAGCATATCTTATATCCATCTGCTTCACCCAGTTAGGGTCTAAATCAGCACCACATTTCACCAGTGAGGCGGGAATTGCCTTTTCCACGGTCTCCTAGATTCCAGTTACGCACCTGGGCCTCCCTTATTTTCATGTCAGTCACTATTAATCATGTAGGGATTCCTGGCTACCCCGAGGTGAATCCAATGGCTGTGAGTGTCAAACACACACTCCTTGTTGCTCCTTAGTTTCCTGTGTACCCAGTGTGCTCTCCGTCTCTCCACAGTCGTCTTGTCATTCTCCCCACGTCATTCCCAGCATTTGAGGAAGAGCCTCTTCCTTCAACATCAGATTATTTTCACCTTTGTGCGTTCACGGCTGACAGCTGTGTGTGGAAAATCCTTCCACCAATCTTTCAGGGGTTCAATCCGTGTTTTTCATTAATGTCACAAATATCTGATTAGTGAGATCTTCTCTGTCACCCAAAATCATACACTCAGCATTATGTATTATTTATTTTAAATTCTGGCTGGGCACAGTGGCTCACGCCAGTTATCCCAGTACTTTAGGATGCTGAGACGGTCGGATCACTTGAGGTTGGGAGTTTCAGAGAAGCTTGGCGAAGATGGTGAAACATCCTCTACAAAAAATATACAAAAAGAATTAGCCGGGCATGGTGGCAGTTGCCTGTAATCCCAGCTACTTGAGAGGCTGACGCAGGAGAATCACTTGGATCCAGAAGGTGCAGGTTGCAGTGAGCCAAGATGGTGACACTGCACTGTAGCCTGGAAGACAGAGGGCGACTCTGTCTCAATAAACAAATGAAGAAACAAACAAATAGATTTCATACACAGATGCTTCCCAATGGATCATTCATTTATTGGTCCACTTGTGCATTCATTTTCTGCCCTCCCATTTAACCATCTGCAATATCAGTGTCCCAAGAGCAGAGGCCAAATGCATCTTGTTCACTGTTTGTGGAAGGTAGGAGAATGCTGTCCCACCCCAAAATGTCCCTGTCCTAGCCTCCATAGCTTGTGAATATCTTATTTTACATGGAAAGGAGGAATGAAGATTGCAGATGGAATTATGGTTGCTAATCAGCTGAACTTAAAACAAGGGTATCCTGAATGATTTCCGGGAGATTATGATGGATTTTCATCTTGGTGAACCCAATAGAATCCCCAAGTTTTCAAAAGATGAGGAAGAAGGGAGAGCAGCATTCAGAGAAAGAGGTGTGGTAAGGAAGAAGGGTCTGAGTGATGCCATGTGAGATGTGACCAGCCTTTGTGGGCTTTGAGGAAGGAGGAAGGGGACCAGGAGCGAAGGAATGTGGGAGCCTCTAGAAGCTGAGAAAAGTGAGAAGCAGATTCTTGCCTGGAATCCTCAGAGGGAAGGCAGCCTTGCTGTCACCTTGATTTTAGCCCAGTGAGATGCACTTCATACTTTGAGCTACAGCACTGCAAGATAATTAAAAAACCGTTTTGTTTTCACCCACGAATCTTGTGGAAATTTGTTATGGCAACAATAGGAAAAGCTTCCACACTGCACAGCCTGAGCATGGGGCCGTGGCTGAATGAGTCAGTGAGTCGAAGTGTGCGTGCATGAGCTCTGTTCTCTGTTACAGCAAGGCTCTTTCTCTGCTGAGTCAGCCAGGGTTGCTTCATGACCTATAGGAGCTCATTCCTTGGCAAGTGGAACTTCTCTAAAACACCTCGCCCTCATCAGATGTTCCCTTCCCTTCCCTCTCTCAAGTCTCCAGGAATTTATCCTCCAGTTAGGAATGCAGGCAGAACAAACATTGCATTTTTCCTGAGAAGGATGTCAGATTGGCAATCATTCTTCTAGCTTGTAGGAGGTCTCAGCTCCATAAAATGAGAGATGAAGAGATTTCACTGAGCCCTGTGTTGGGCCCAGATCCCTTTCGCTGTAGGAGTATCTGGAGTTCGGAGATGGTGGAAGACAGGGGTACAATGTCAGAGCTGTGAGATGCTGAGTCAACGCCTGAATCCAAGGTTTCCACCTCCCCAGGTTTCCAAAAGCGGATATAAGAGGGTTCTGTACTCACCGGTTTTGGAGCTTGGTTCAGTGGGTGAAGGCCAACTATTTGAAGGGTTTCCTAGAATATGAGACAGGAGAGAGGTGAGGAAATGAGGGTGTCTGTCCTCTACTCAGTGGAAATCTTTGAGGATGGTTCATGGCCAACACTCTGTTATCTAATATTGGGCCCTGGGAGTCCTGGGATCCTTTTTTCCATAATTTTTGTATGTGACGCCCACTGTCTTGAGACTTCAAGGTATAAAGAGAAAACAGGAGCATCACACTACCTGATCTCAAAATATGTTACAGAGCTGTAGTAAGCAAAACAGCATGACATTGGCATAAAGAAAGGCACATAGAACAATGGAGCAGAATGAATAACACAGATATATTCCATGCATTTACATCCAATGGTTTTTTATTTTTTCTTTTGAGATGGAGTCTTGCTCTGTCACTCAGGCTGGAGTGCAGAGGTGCAATCTCAGTTCACTGCAACCTCAGCCTCCTGGGTTCAATCATTCTCTTGCCTCAAACTCCTGAGTAGTGGTATTACAGGTGCTGACCACCATGCTCAGCTAATTTTTATATTTTTAGTGGAGACGATGTTTCATCACGTCGGCCAGACTGATCTTGAACTCCTGGCCTCAGGTAATCCACCCGCCTCGGCCTCCCAAAGTGCTGGAATTGCAGGTGTGAGCCACCAAGCCCAGCCCATCCAATGGACTTTGACAAAGGTGCCAAGAACTCACAATCAGGAAAGGACAGTCTTTTCAATAAACAGTGCAGGGAAACCTGGACATCTACATGCAGAGGAATGAAACTGCACCTCTACCTGTCACCATACACAAAAATCAAATGAAAATGGATTAAAGATGTGAGTCTAAGGCCTGAACCTATGAAACACGTAGAAGAAATATTGGGGAAATGCTCCAGGACGTTTGTCTGAAGGAAGACATTTTGTTTTAAACCTTGAAAACACAAGTAATCGAAGCAAAAATAGACCATTGGGATTACCTCAAACTAAGCAACTTCTGCACTGCTAAAAATAAACCAACAAAGTGAAGAGACAACCCACAGATTGGGAGCAAATATGTGCAAACTATGCATCTGAGATGGGATTAATAACTAGAAATATAAGAAGCTCAAACAACTCAATAAAACAAATGATTTAATTGAAAAAGGAGCAAAAGACATGAAATTTCCCCACATATGAAAAAGTGCTCAGTATCACTCATCATCAGAGAAATGCAAATTAAAATCAAAGTGAGTTTTCATCTCACCCCATTAAAATGGCTTTTAGGCCGGGTGAGGTGGCTCACGTCTGTCATCCTAGAACTTTGAGAGCCTGAGGTGGGTGAATCTCATAAGGTCGGGAGTTTGAGACCAGTATGACCCACATAGAGAAACGCTGTCTCTACTAAAAATACAAAAATTAGTCGGGCGTGGTGGCGTGTGCCTGTAATTCCAGCTACTCGGGAGGCTGAGGCAGGAGAATCGCTTGAACCTGGGAGGTGGAGGTTGTGGTGAGCCGAGATAGCGCCACTGCACTCCAGCCTGGGTGAGAAGAGCAAAACTCCATCTCAAAATAAAATGAAATAAATAAAATGGCTTTTAGCTGCAAGACAGGCAAAAGAAATGCTGGCAAAGTGCTAGAGAAAGGAGAACCCTGGTACCCTGTTGGGAGGAGTGTAAATTAGTACAGCGATTACGGAGAAAAGTATGGAAGTCCTTTAAAGAACTAAAAAGAGGTTGGGTGTGGTGGATCAGGCCTGTAATCCCGGCACTTTGGGAGACTGAGGCGGGCACCTCAGTTGAGGTCATGAGTTTGAGAGCAGCCCAGCCAACATGGGGAAACCGCATCTATACTAAAAAAACCAAAAAGTAGCCAGGCATGGTGGCGTGCACCTGTAATCCCAGCTACTAGGGAGGCTGAGGCAGGAAAATCATTGGAACCCAGGAGGCGGAGGTTGCAATGAGCCAAGGTCGCACCACTTTGACTCCAGCTTGGGCTAAGGAGGGAAACTCTTTCTCAAAAAAGAAAAAAAAAAAAAAGAGAACTTTCATAGTATCCAGCAATTTCACTACTGGGTTTATATCCAAAGGAAAGTAAATCAATATATCGAAGTGATATCTGCACTCGTATGATTGGTGCAGCACTGTTCACAGTAGCCAAGATGAGGAGTCAACCTACCTGCCCATCAGTGGGTGAATGGATAGAGAGAATGTAGTACATACGCACAGTGGAGACTACTCATCCATAGAAAGAATAACATCCTGTCATTTGCAGCCACATGGATGGAACTGGAGGTCATTACAAAGATTCCCATTTCTCACCCATATACAGGAGCTAAAAGGTGGATCTCATGAAGGTAGAGAGTAGAATGGTGGCTACTGGAGGGCAGGAAGAAAAGGGTGGAGGGTAAAAAAAATGTATATATATATATATATATAAATGTATTTATGACCACTAGACTTTACACTTAAAAATGGTAAATGTGGCTGGGCGTGGTGGCTCATGCCTGTAATCCCAGCACTTTGGGAGGCAGATGCGGGTGGATCACGTGGTCAGGAGTTGCAGACCAGCTCGACCAACATGGTGAAACCACCTCTCTACTAAAAATACAAAAAGTAGCCTGGCGTGGTGGTGCGCACCTGTAGCACCAGCTACTCAGGTGGCTGAGGCAGGAGAATCGCTTGAACCCAGGAGGCGGAAGTTGCAGTGAGCTGAGATTGTGCCACTGCACTCCAGCATAGGGGACAGAGCTAGACTCTGCCTCAAAAAAAAAAAAATGTTAAAGGTGGTAAGCTATATAGGTATATTTATCCTCAATAAATATTTCTTCAAACAAAAGTAAAGGGTGTAGGGGTTGCTGGTGATGACATCTCTGTGTGGGTGAGAGGCCAGGATGGGCTTCTGGGAAATGGGTAAGGTTGAGGGGCTGAGGGAACCTCTGATCTCCCCAAACTGAGCCCAGTCTCCCTCCTCTGGGTCTCTCCTGACCGCTTTCTCCATCTGCCTGGGTGCCTGGAGCCCTGGCTGCGGGCCTCCATGCAGGCCATGTAGGAGGGTTTGGAGGTGCCCTGTCGGCCATCCTGTGCCCTGATCCCTCCCTCACACCGAGGATGCATCTTCTCTCTGCATCTGTCCATGCTTCTCTCCATCCTCAGCAGGAAGCTCCTCAGCTAAGGCTCTAGGATCATAGGACATGGGACAGCCATGGGCTTTCCTCACCTGTGACAGAAACAAGCAGTGGGTCACTTGACTTTGACCACTCGTAGGGAGAGTCATGGAAAGAGCCGAAGCATCTGTAGGTTCCTCCTTGGGTGGCAGGGCCCAGAGGAAAGTCGGCCTGGAATGTTCCGTTGACCTTGGGCCCTGCAGAGAACCTACGTTCATGGGCCTCCCCCTCCGTGGATAGATGGTACATGTCATAGGAGCTCCAGGAGCTGCAGGACAAGGTCACGCTCTCTCCTGCCAGAACCGTGGGGCCCGGCTGGGCTGAGAGAGAAGGTTTCTCATATAGACCTGGAAGGAGAAGAGGCATTTTCCTTATGGAGGATCTTCCTTGTCACAGCTCCCTTCACCTGAGCTGAGAACTCACTCCCCTGCTCTATGACCTAATGCTCTCTCTCTCTCTCTCTCACCCTCCACCCCATCTCTCTTCATGTCTATTTCCTCCTTCCACCTTCTCTGTCTCTCTAGGTCTCTGACCTCGCTTCCCCACCTCTAGATATGTTTTCCGTTTTTGGATTGTTTTATTCTCTCTGACTCTCCTTGGATTGGTTGACTTGATGTTACTTTTTTAAATTCTAAGTTTCTCACTTTGTGTCCTGTTCATAACTTTCTGCATATTTCTATCTATTATCTGTTGATCTATCTATTTATCTATTCGGTGCCTATCTACAAATTCTCTACTTGTCATCTATATCTATATATCATCTATGTATCTATCACTTGTCTATCTATCCATCAATCATCTGTTATCTATATCTATGTATCATCTCTCTCTCTATGACTTCTGTCTGCCTCTCTATCTCTATGTATTATCTATCTGTCTTCATCATCATCTCTACGTCTCATCTATTAATGAATCAATCAATCATCATCTATGTATCTATAACCTAGTATCTATCATCTACCTATTTATCATCTATCTATATCTATCCATCTATCATCTGTCTTGCTCTGCCTCTCGGTCTCTCTAGTTCTCTTTGGAATCTCTGCAATTCATCCCCACATCTCCATCTTTCTATGTCCTTGTGCCTCTCCCTCAGGACTCTAATTTTAGTGCTTTTCTCTGCTCCCTTCCATCATTCTCACCACTCCTCTGCCCTCTTTTCTCTCTCTTTATGTGTCTGTGAGTCTCTCAATCTCCTTCCTCTGGCCCATTCTCTGTGTGTTTATGTCTTTGCTTTTTGGTGTTCCTGATTTTTCTCTGTGCCTCTCAGTGATCCTTTCATATGTGGGGTTATTTGGAATGTGAGCCTCAGAATCCAGTCTGGAGACTACAAGTTCACACAGCATACAGGGGTTGGTGTTCTGGGGCCATGATATCCTGGGACGATTACTCTCCATTACTTGGAAGGCAGAGGTGTCAGAATAAACACGGCATCTGTAGGTGCCAGAAGGCCTGAGGCCACAGGGCCCAACTCAGGTCAGAAATATGGGTGTCCTTGGGTTCTCCTGGTAGAGAACACTTTGTGGAGGTAAAACAGAAATGAAACTTGTAATCTGTGCCAGGTCTCTGAGCAAAGTCAGCATGGAGGGACACCTCTCTCTGGGACATGTCTGTCTGTCTGTCTCCTTTAACTCCTTCTGTCTTTTCTAACTCTCGGAATGGCCCCTGTGTCTGTCCTCTGTTATGACACCTGGTCTGTACTTGTGTCTCCTGTTTCTCTGTCTCTGTTGGTACAGACCTCACCAAGTCAGTCTCTCTCCATAAGAATACCAAGCTCATCTTCCTTACAACCACCTGGGCCTCCAAGTCCTGGATCATTCACTCTGTGTCCGAATGACAATGAGAAGAATGTCTGGACACTCTCACCTGTGATCACGATGTCCAGAGGGTCACTGGGAGCTGAAAACTGATAGGGGGAGTGAGGAACAGAACCGTAGCATCTGTAGGTCCCTGCCAGGTCTTGCCTCATGCGACCGATGGAGAAGTTGGCCTTGGAGACCCCATCAATGTGCTCTCCAATGAGGCGCAAAGTGTCGTTAAACGTCCCCTCTCTGTGCAGAAGGAAGTGCTCAAACATGACATCTGACCAACATTGCAGGATGACTGTCTCTTCTGATTTCACCAGGCGACCTGGGTGGGCCAGGAGGGAAGGTTTTCTGCGGAATCCTAGGAAGAGAGTTTGTGAATTTAGAAGGTGTCTCTCTTTATCATCCCATCCATGGCACCTGGATTGAGTGAGGCTTCCCCTCCCTGGTGTCTGTCTCTCTCCTTCCTCTCTGTGTCTTCATGTTCTTTTCTGTGCCCATAACTCCTGGTGCAGGTCCTTCCATCTGTCTCCCTCCCTCTTCTCTGTCCCTCTGTCTCTAGTAACCTCTGATTGCCTTGCCGCTGGGCTCAGCCTCATCTCTTCGGCTGTTGTATCTATTTTGAACTAATGTCTTTCCTGCTGTCTATGTGGGGGTGGAAGAGGAACCAGGATAGGCTGCACATCCAGGCTCTTAGCAGCCTGGTTCAATCTCTTTTGGACGAATTGGAATCCTTGGCAGGAGGTATGAACTGAACAGTAAGGCAGGCACCAGTGTCCACACACCCTTTTCCTGGTGGGGACTGGGAGCCACTCTTGCCATGCCTGTACCAGCTTCCATAGCCTGGCTCCTGGTGCTGGTTGGAGGAGTATCAACCGCTCCCTATGTGGATGGAGCCTGGTGGTGGCATCATAATCCCACACTTGCTGATCTTGGTGTAGCCAACCTTCTCCTTGTTTGGTTTCTTTAATTAATTAATTTTGGAGACAGAGTCTCACTCCTTTGCCCAGGCTGGAGTGAAGTGGTGTGGTCTAGGCTCACTGCAACCTCTGTCTCCTGGGTTCAAGTGATTCTCCTGCCCTCAGCCTCCCAAGTCGCTAGGATTACATGCACCTGCCACCACGCCCGGCTATCCTTGTGTCCTTTCTTAACTTTTCCTCGAGCTGGGTTCCGGTGTTGGTTTCCTGTTGCTGCTGTAGAAAATTATCAGCAGCATGGCAGCAGGAGAGAGCACACTGACCCCTTCCATTTTTGGAGGCAGAAGTCGGGCCCTGTTTTTCCTGGGCTAAAATCAAGGCACCTGCAGGGCTTCGTTCCCTCTGGAGACTCAGGAGAATCAGTTCCTTGACTTTTCCAGCCTCTATAGGCCACCTGCATTCATGGCTCCTGGCCTTCCTCCACCTTCAAAGCTGATGGAGACTCCCATTATGCTGCTCTAATCCCCACTCTCCTCTTCCTCCTCCTTTCATGTGGACCCTTGTGACTACACTGAGCCCAGGGGGACAGTCCAGGCCTTCTCCCATCTCAAGGTCAACTCATCAACAACCTGAGCTCCATCTTCCCCTTCAGTCCCTTCCCCTATAACATAAATAGTCACAGACTCCAGGGATTAGAATGTAGTCATCACTGGGGACAATTATTCTTCTCACCACAGTACCCATTTCCCTGTATTCAATCCCCCTTTACCCCAAATACAGTCAGGGCCTGCGTGAAGGGACCCTCAAGGACATGCCTACCGGAAGCTCTGGGATTCAGGAGGTGGGACAAGGAGAATCCCAGACAGGAGCCCTCTGACCTGTGACCATGATCAGCAGGGGGTTGCTGGGTGCCGACCACCCACTGGGGGAGTGTGGGTGTGAACCCCGGCATCTATAGGTCCCTGTGTGTGACGGGGTCACAGGGCCCATGAAAAGGCTTTTCCAGAATATTCTGTTGTAGTGTTCAGGGACAGGCACCCCATCATCCTTGTACAGACTGAAGTTGTTAAACCCAAGATTAGAGTGACACCGAAGAGTCACATGTTCTGGAGGCACCACAAGGCTGGGCCAGGTAGAAAGCAAGGGCTTGTCCTGACCACCTTGGGGAGAAGGAGGCGCCACCTTAGAGAGGAGGATGTGCAGCCGCCCCTCCCTCCCTGTGCTCAGAAGATTCTCCCCACTTTCCACATTTCTATGGCTGCTATCACACCTTGGTGCCTAGGGCTAAAGGAAGGACTCATCCCACAAAGACAAGGTGTCTCCCTACAACAAAAATGTCAGCTGAGAACTTTGAGCAAGTGCTGAGTAAGAGACTCCTACTAGATTTTAATACTGTAAGATTACTCACATAAAACAACACAGGGTAGACATGGGGTGGAGGGCATGTCCTTTGAGAATGGAATATCAGCAGATGCCTGAATGAAAATAAACAACTGAGCCCCCATCAGAGGATTTGGAATGTCAGGGCCATGGCTGTGGTTTCCCACCTCTTCTGGTAGAATGAGAGCAGCCACACTGCAGCCCCTACCATCATGGAAACGCTGAAGTGTGTGAGTAACACCTTTGTCCTCAGAGGATCTGCTGTTCCTACCACTTCCCCACCACACAACCCAGCTTTGAGCACCCTAGTGTAACCCTGGTCCCCACAGAACTTGACTCTGCCAAGGAAATGAAAGGCTGGGGAGGCGAGGTCGGAACTGTGGGCCAAGCACCCCAGGGTCCCCTCTTTCTAGTTTAAGAGAGACTCCCCGACAGGACTTCCCTCCCGTTTCAGGAAAATCCTCTTATGTGGGGAGATGACACCTTAAGGTTTGGAGAAGGACTTACCCTCATGTGGCCAGGCCCCCTGCAGCCAGAAGAACCCTGGAAAGAAAGACCATGATGGACCATCCATCTGCAGGCAAACCAGGCCTCCCTTGCTATCCCCACTAGGCTGTGAGTCTTGGTAGCCAGGCCCTTCCTGGGCCGAAGGGAAACTCACCCTCAGTGCCTACCTGCACCCAAGAACAGGGCTCTCGGCTGTGCAGAGACCCAGCCTCCAGGCCCATATCCCCACCCCAAGCCCATATCTCCACTCCAGGCACATATCTCCACTCCAGGCTGATATTCCCACCCTAGGCCCATATAGCCAATCTGGGCCCACATCTGCAATCCAGGCTCAGATCTCCACCCCAGGCCCATAACTCCAGTCCAGGCCCATATCTCCACTCCAGGCCCATATCTCCTCTCCAGGCCCATATCTCCACTCCAGGCCCATATCTCCACCCCGGGCCCAGATCTCCACCTCCAGGCCCATAACTACATTCCAGGATCATATCTCCACTCCAAGCCCATATCTCCACAACAGGCCCATATCTCCACTCCAGTCCCATATCTCCACCCCACGCCCATATCTCCATTCCAGGCCCATATCTCCACTCCAGGCCCATATCTTCACCACACGCCCATATCTCCACTCCAGGCCCATATCTCCACCCCACGCCCATATCTCCACTCCAGTCCCATATCTCCACTCCACGCCCATATCTCCACTCCAGTCCCATATCTCCACCCCATGCCCATATCTGCACTCCAGTCCCATATCTCCACCCCACACCCATATCTCCACTTCAGTCCCATATCTCCACTCAAGGCCCATATCTCCACCCCACGCCCATATCTCCGCTCCAGGCCCATATCTCCACTCCAGGCCCATATCTCCAACCTCCAGGCCCATATCTCCACTCCAGGCCCATATCTCCATCTCCAGGCTCATATCTCCACTCTAGGCCCATATCTCCACTCCAGGCCCTTATGTCCACCTCCAGGCCCATATCTGCACTCCAGACCCACATCTCCACTCCAGGCCCATATCTGCACTCCAGGCCCCTATCTCCACTCCAGGGCCATATCTCCACTCCAGGCTCATATCTCCACTCCAGGCCCATATCTCCAATCCAGGCCCAGATCTCCACTCCAGGCCCAGATCTCCACCTCCAGGCCCATATCTCCACTCTAGGCCCATATCTCCACTCCAGGCTCATATCTCCACTCCAGGTCCATATCTCCACCTCCAGGCCCATATCTCCACTCCAGGCCCATAACTCCACCTCCAGGCCTATATCTCCACCTCTGGGCCCAGATCTCCATCCCCGCGCTCCCTCCCTCTATTCCCTTCCAGGACTCACCAACACATGCCATGCTGATGACCATGAGCGACATGGTGGTGCCGGAGCAGACAGGCGGCCGCACCCCTAGCTCAGCTCAGCAGCGCACAGGATGTTATTTGGCTCCCTGCCCATGCAGTTTACATGTTGACCACATCATGGGAGGGTGACGTACGCAGGCTCTTTCTACCTTTCATGAGGCCCAGTGGGTGCTCGCTCAAGAGCAGAACACGGCTTCCTGGAAATTGTTCTCACTAGAATTGACACCTCGTGTCCTTCACTATGACCAACTCAAAACACGTCTCAGATCCAACCTCCGGAACACAGGATGCCTAAAATCTGTGCTAACGTGAAAAACTTTTCATGTATTTTTATTGTTTTTATCTGAGATTCAAACTCTTCTTCATGTGTAATATGCAAAATATCTAATAGGTATTATTAATGTTTTCAGAGTCATTGTGACTAATAAACCATTAGAATTTTTCATGCTTGTATTTCTAGTATTACAGCAGAACCAGTTAAAATGATTTAAATTCCCAGGGAAGGATTATGCAATTATTTACAATCTTCGAATTGTACTTTATCAGCAAAAACCACACATGTAAATTCTGGATTTTTATAGTTTTATCTATAATTTGTCTCATGACCCAAGATTCCAGAGTCCCAACTCTGGAGTTTGCTCTCTCTCTGTCTCTGTCCCTCCCTCATTTTAAATTTTACAGAAATATCCAGTAACATAATGCTATAGAAAATCAAGTTTCCCCCAGCATGTTGGGAAGCCGCGGTGGGCGAATCAACTGAGATGAGGAGTTTGAGAGCAGCCTGGCCAACATAGTGAAACCGTGTCTCTGCTAAACATTCAAAAATTAGCCGTGCCTGGTGGCAGACACCTGTAATGCCAGCTACTCAAGAGGCTGAGGCACGAGAATCGCTTGAACCTGGGAGGCGGAGTTTGCAGTGAGCTGAGATTGCACTACTACAGTCCAGCCTGGGTGACAGAGCAAGATTCCGCCTTAAGAAAAAAAAAATAGCAAGTAGCCTATAATAACAAATTAGAGGGCTCTGGCTACTAAATTTAAAGGGTTCTATAAGGCTACATGAAGTGCAGCATCCTCAAGAGTGTGGACACAGAGAGCCCCTTAGCAGAAACAGTGTCTAAAATACATCCGTGTACACACAGTCCCTTTAGAGTTGACAAAGGCTGCCCTGTGGTTTAAGGTGGCATAGAATGTCTTCTCAATAAATAATATTAAACCAAAGGGTTACACGTAGGAAAAAATAAATCTAAACTTATTCTCACACTATAAAAACACTTCTTGTTTTTATCTAGTTTATAATTTTTTTATGATTTATATTTAAAATTGAGAAATAACAGTTTTATACGGTCATCCTTCACTATTCCTGGGTGATTGGTTTCAGGATCTCCACTCAGATACCAAAATCTGCAGATGCTCAAGCCTCTTACATGAAATGGCACAGCATTTGCATATAACCCATGCACATCCTCCTGTGTACATGAAATCATCTCTAGATTACTTATAATTCCTGATATGGCCTACACACTGCTTCATTTGTGTCCCTTCAACATAGTTTTGCTTTTTGAAAGTTTGTGGATTTTCTTCTCTGAATATTTTTTATTTATAGTTGGTTCAATAAACACCTGTAAACCCCACAGATACGGAGGAGCGACTGTATATATATATATAGCATGAAAGATGATGTGTTGATATGTGTCCCCATGGAGATGAGACTAACAAGGCCTATGACTCTACAAATGTTTCATCGTGGAATGACTCTGCCAGCTTTCCAGGTCTGCAGAGAGTAAGAATATCACTTGTTCATGTGATTCATGATCCTTGGAACCTCCTATGTGCTGCATCTTTGGATGGAAATTGGAGTCCCAGAGACAAATGAGGCTCCACCCTGCTTCCAGAAGCTCAGAGTCCAGGGGAGAGAACCCAGTGGATAACAGATGGGGTTATGTGGACATGGTAATGATAACAGCGGTTTCTTTCAGCGAATAGTGTCACATTACCTAAAGCAATGAGGGCAGACATGTTTATTTGAAAAGGAGACAGCTACATTGAAATCACAAAAAATTTTATAAGTTTCACTGCTGACTGACAGAAGGCTGGAAAATAGTCTGAGGAAAGGTGAAACAGCATGAGGGAAGGTGGAACAGCACGTGTCTCAGTGCCATGTTAAGAGGGAGCCTCTTGTATGTCTGGAATTGTGAGTTCCTCAGTGTGATTGCAGCCTCAAGTAGACTAGGAAGTAAGCCAGTTCAGTTGGAGAGGTGGGCAGGGGTCAAGTGAAATAGAGAATTGTGGGCTAAGCAAAGGTGTGTGTCTTCTCTCCAGCAGGCAGTGGGGACCTTAGACATTTGTAAGCAAGAGAGAGGCATGTTCAGATTTGTGGTGTGAGGAAGAGCGATCCCCTAAGATGAAGACTGATGCCTTCAGATTCCAGCTGCTGGTACATGGGAGCTAGCAACCCGGTTTTGAGACAGGGCTGTTGTCTCCCTAGAAGATCCCCTCAAGGCCTGACTGTGGTGCTTATGGGCAGGAGACAATGATCTTGGCTTAGCATTTGGAAGTTCCATGTACATGGTGGTATCTGTTGGAGGTGTCTTGGGCCTCTGAGAAGGGGAAGTGATTTTTGTCTGTGTGAAAACGCAGTGATCCAACTGTGCATATGTCACCTCCTGAGGGTCTTGATCATCAGAGTCCTGGAGAGAGGGAAATGCTGAGTGAGGGAGGGTGCTCACATTCTTCAAGACTATTAGGGAATGAGACTCAATCCATGAGGCTGGGCTGAGGAGAACCTACCTCCCTGTTCACTGTTCTGTCCCCGGCAGGCTCTTGGTCCATTACAGCAGCATCTGTAGGAGATAGAAGTCATCAAAACAGCTGGAAGGGCACTTTTGGGTCCTCATTTCATGAGCAGACACCAACACACAGCGGGAGGCCGTAGGTGCCTGAGGTCCCTCAGCTGTCATCAGCCAGACCCAGACATTCTATCTCTCTGAGCTCAAGGACCCATCCCATGAATAGCTCTGAGTTCCCATCCCAGTGATTCTGTCTCCCCTTTCTGCCTGTCATGGAACCTTCTCCTGGATGTCAGTGGCTGCAGGGGACGTGAGGATACAGTTCAGAATCAGGCAATGGTCTGTGAGCTGAAGGCAGGGGCAGGGTGTCTGGTGCTCTCTCTAGAAAGCCCTGCCTCTGTGGCTCCTGCCTTGGTCCAGGGACCATC
The DNA here is from genome assembly GCF_000001405.40 of Homo sapiens. Classification (NCBI taxonomy): domain Eukaryota; kingdom Metazoa; phylum Chordata; class Mammalia; order Primates; family Hominidae; genus Homo; species Homo sapiens. Next base: position 67,081 of record NT_187641.1, read on the forward strand.
CTGCCAGTCAGGAACACACACCAGTGTGCTCCCATCCTGCTTCCCCACATGGTCCTGAGCTCTCTGACCTCTGCTTCGTGAGACTTACTCTTTTTGTTGGAGCAGCAGCAATGAAGGAGAAAGAAGAAGAGGATGATGAAGAGGATGATAGCCACTGAGGTCCCAATCAGAATGTGCAGGTGTCTGCGGATACCTGGGGGAAGGTGGGAATCCAATAAGAAGCTAATTATAGCAGTTCCTCTTTATGGATTGTCTCTCATTTCTTGGTTGCCAGCTAAGCACATACAACATCTGTTTAGGACAAGTTCCCCGATGGCAGGATACCCAGCTTTCTCCTGCTTTCTCAGTTATAGTTCTCAAAATAATCAGAGAACATGCTGGGGATACCACTGCTATAGTTTGAATGTTTGACCCCGCCAAACCTCACGTTGACACTTATCTCGCAGTGTGGGAGGCTGGGCCTATTGAGAGACGTTCCAGTTATGGGGGTGGATCCATCATGAATACATTAATGCTGTCCCCATGAGACGTGGTTGGCAAGTTCTCCATGAGGTCCCTAGGACTGGTTGCTAAAAAGAGCATGGGGTTTCTCCATGTTGGCCAGGCTGGTCTCAAACTCCTGACCTCAAGTGATCCAAACGCCTTGGCCTCCCAAAGTGTTGGGTTACAGGCGTAAGCTCCCATTCACAGACTTGTATATTATGCTATAATAAGTCCCTTCATTTGCACCACCCCTCATCTATCTATCACTCCTCTGCCAGATATTGATTTACATGTAGGAAAAATAAATCTCAGAAAGAAATTAATATATTCAAAATTAAATAAGTAGGCATTATCAAATCCAGCAAGACCTCCCTACAAATGATTCTACCTCACAGACATATCTTATACCCATCTACTTCATTCATTTAGTGTCTAAATCAGCACCACATTTCACCAGTGGGGCGGGAATTGCCTTTTCCACGGTCTCCTAGATTCCAGTTACGCACTTGGGCGTCCCTTATTTTCATGTCAGTCATATTAATCATGTAGGGATTCCTGGTTACCCCGAGGTGAATCCAATGGCTGTGAGTGTCAAACACACGCTCCTTGTTGCTCCTTAGTTTCCTGTGTACCCAGTGTGCTCTCCGTCTCCCTACAGTCATCTTGTCATTCTCCCCACGTCATTCCCAGCATTTGAATGCAGAGCCTCTTCCTTCCACATCAGATTGTTTTCACATTTGTGCCTTCACGGCTGACAGCTGTGTGTGGAAAATCCTTCCGCCCATCTTCCAGGGGTTGAATCTACTTTTTTTTTTCATTATGGTCACAAATATTATCTGATTAGTGAGACTTTCTCTGTCTCCTGAAATTATACACTTAGAATTCTTTATTATTTATTTTAAATTTCGGCTGGGCGCAGTGGCTCACGCCTTGAGTCCCAGCATTTTGGGATGCTGAGACGGTCGGATCACTTGAGGTTGGGAGTTGGAGACAATCTGCGCAACATGGTGAAACTCCATCTCTACTAAAAAATATAAAAGAAAATTAGCTGGGTGTGGTGGAGGGGACTGGAATCACAACTAGTCAGGAGGCTGAGGCAGGAGAATCGCCTGAACCCGGGAGGCGGAGGTTGTGGTGAGCTGAGGTCATGCCACTGCACTCCAGCCCGGGGACAGAGAATGACTTCGCCGCAAATAAATAAATACATAAATAGATAAATAGATAAATAAATAGGTAAATAGATTTCATGCACGGATGCTTCCCAATGGATCAATCATTACTGGTCCACTTGTGCATTCATATTCTGCCCTCCCATTTGCCCATCTGCAATGTCAGTGTCCTAAGAGCAGAGGCCAAATGCATCGTGTTTACCATTTGTGGAAGGCAGGAGAATGCTGGCCCACCCCCAAAATGTCCCTGTCCTAGCCTCCATAGCTTGTGAATATGTTATTTTACATGAAAGGAGGAATAAAGATTGCAGATGGAATTATGGTTGCTAATCAGCTGAACTTAAAAAGAGGTTATCTTGGGTGATTTTAGGGAGATTGTGATGGATTATCTTGGTAAACTCAATAGAATCCCAAAGTCTTTAAAAGAGGAAGAAAAAGTCAGAGCAACACTTAGAGAAAGAGGTGAGGTAAGGAAGAGGGATCTGAGTGATGCCACGTGAGAGATGTGACGAGCTTTTGTGGACTTCGAGGAAGGAGGATGGGGACCAGATACCAAGGAACGTGGGAACCTCTGGGAGCTGGGAAATGTGAAAAGCCGATTCTCGCCTGGAACCTTCAGAGAAAAGGCAGCCTCGCAGTCACCTTGATTTTAGCCCAGTGAAATGCATTTCATATTTCTGAGCTATAACACTGTAAGATAATTTTAAAAGCTGTGTTGTTGTCATCCATGAAGTTTGTGGAGATTTATTATGGCAACAGCAGGAAAGGGTTCCACACTGTACAGTCAGAGCACAGGGCAGTGGCTGAATAAGTGAGTGAGTGGAAGTGTCATATTCGTGGATGAACTACGTTCCTTCTTACTGCAAGGCTCTTGCTCTGCTGACTCAGCCAAGGTCGCATCATGACCAACAGGGGCTCATTCCTTGGCAAGTGGAACTTCTCTAAATCACCTTTCCCTCATCAGATGTTCCCTTCCCCTCCCTCTCTCAAGTCCCCTCGAATTTATCCTCCAATTTGGAATGCAGGCAGAAAAAACACCACATTATCCCTGAGAAGGATGTCAGATTTGTACTCGTCCGTCTAGCTTGGAGGAGGTCTCAGCTGCAGAAATTTGAAATGAAGAGACTTCACTGAGCCCTTTGCTGTCCTCAGATACCCTTCGCTGTTGTAGTGTCTGGGGGTCAGAGATGTTAGAAGACAGGCCCACAATCACAGAGCTGGGAGGTGCTGAGCCAATGCTTGAATCCAAGATACCAACCTCCCCAGGTTTCCAAAAGCAGAGATAAGAGGGATCTTTACTCACCAGTTTTGGAGCTTGGTTCAGTGGGTGAAGATGAACTACTTGAAGAGTTTCCTAGAACACAGGACAGGAGAGAGGTGAGGAAATGAGGATGCCTGTCTTCTACTCAAAGGAAATCTTTGAGGTTGGTTCATGGCCAACACTCTGTTATCTAATGTTGGGCCCTAGGAGTCCTGGCGTCCCCTTCTCCATCATCATTGTTAAATGATGCCCAGTGTCCTGAGATTTCGAGGTATAAAGACAAAACAGGTGCTGGAGGCCTCACACTCCCTGACTTAAAAATATGTTACAAAGCTGTAGTAAGCACAACAGCATGACATTGGCATAAAGGCCCTTAGAGCAATGGAGCAGAATGAAGAACACAGATATAATTCATGCATTCACATCCAATGGACTTTGACGATTGTAGGTGCCAAGAACCTGCAATCAGGAAACGACGGTCTTTTCAATAAATGGAGCAGGGAAAACTGGTATCTACATGCAGTTGATGAAACTGCACCTCTACCTCTCACCATACACAGAAATCAAATGAAAATGGAAGAAACACTTAAGGCCTGAAACCATTAAGCGTCTAAAAGGAAAGAGTGGGGAAATGCTCCAGGACATTTGTCTGAGGAAAGACATTTTATTTGAAATCTCAAAAACACAAGAAATCAAAACAAAATAATAGACCTTCGGGATTACATCAAAGTAAGCAGCTTCTGCACCGCAAAGGAAGCAACCAACAAAGTGAAGAAGAGACAAATTGGGAGAAAATATTTGTGAAGTATGCATCTGAGAGGGGATTAATAACTAGAATATACATAAAACTCAAGCAACGGTATAAAACAATGAATTTAATTTAACAATTAGTAAAAGACCTGAACAGACATTTCTCAACAAACAAAACGTACAAATGGCGAACATGTACATGAAAAAGTGCTCAGTATCACTAATCATGCCAATTGAAATCACAGTGAGCTATCATCTCATCCCATTAAAGTGGCTTTTATCTGAAACACAGACAAAATGAATGCTGGCAAGGTGGTAGAGAAAGGAGAACCCTGGTACCCTGTTGATAGGATCTAGCAATTCCACTACTGGGTGTAAACCCAAAGGGAAGGACATCAGTGTATCGAAGTGATATCTGCACTCATACGATTGGTGCAGCACTGTTCACAGTAGCCAAGATGTGGAGTCAACTTACCTGCCCGTCAGTGGGTGAATGGATAGAGGGAATGTAGTACACACACACAGTGGAGAGTACTCATCCGTAGAAAGAATAACATCCTGACATTTGCAGCCACATGGATGGAACTGGAGGTCATTGCAAAGATTCCCATTTCTCACCCATATACAGGAGCTAAAAGGTGGATCTCATGAAGGTAGAGAGTAGAATGGTGGCTACCAGAGGGCAGGAAGTAAAGGGTGGAGTGTAACAACAACAATAAAAAAGAATATAGATGTATTTATTTATTTAGAGACAGAATCTCTCTCTGTCTCCCAGGCTGCAGTGCAGTGGCCTGATCTCAGCTCAGTGCAACCTCTGCCTCCTGGGCTTACGTACTTCTCCTGCCTCAGCCTCCCATGTAGCTAGGAATACAGGTGCATGCCAGCATGCCCAGCCAATTTTTCTTGTCTGTTTAGTAAAGATGAATTTCCCTCATGTTGGCCAGGCTGATCTCGAGCCTCTGATCTTAAATGATCCACCTTCCTTGGCCTCTCAAAGCACCGAGATTATAACTGTGAGCCACTGCACCCTGCATATAAAGGAATTTATGACCACTAGATTTTACTTTTAAAAATGGTAAAGGTGGCAAATTATATAGTTACATTTAACCTCAATAAATGTTTTTTCAAACGGAAAGAAAAGGGTGTAGGGGTTGCTGGTGATGACATCTCTGTGTGGGTGAGAGGCCAGTATGGGCTTCTGGGAAATGGGTAAGGTTGAGGGTCTGAGGAGCCTCTGATCTCCCCAAACTGAGCCGAGTCTCCCTCCTCTGGGTCTGTCCTGACCACTTTCTCCATCTGCCTGGGTGCCTGGAGCCCTGGCCGCGGGCCTCCATGCAGGCCGTGCAGGAGGGTTTGGAGGTGCCCTGTCTGCCATCCTGTGCCCTGATCCCTCCCTCACACCATGCTGCGTGTTCTCTCTGCATCTGTCCATGCTTCTCTCCATCATCAGCAGGAAGCTCCTCAGCTAAGGCTCTAGGATCACAGGACATGGGACAGGCATGGGCTTTCCTCACCTGTGACAGAAACAAGCAGTGGGTCACTCGGGTCTGACCACTCATAGGGTGAGTCATGGAGAGAGCTGAAGCATGTGTAGGTCCCTCCGTGGGTGGCAGGGCCCAGAGGAAAGTCAGCCTGGAATGTTCCATCGACGCTGGGCACTGCAGGGAGCCTAGGTTCATGGGCCCTCCCCTCCCTGGATAGATGGTACATGTCAAATGAGCTCCTGGAGCTGCAGGACAAGGTCACGTTCTCTCCTGTGCGAACCGTGGGGCCCGGCTGGGCTGAGAGTGAAGGTTTCCCAAATAGACCTGGAAGAAGAGGCAGTTTCCTCAGGGAGGTTCTTCCTTGTCACAGCTCCCCTCACACCTGAGCTGAGAACTCACTCCCCTGCTCTATGACCTAATGCTCTCTCTCTCTCTCACCCTCCACCCCCGACTCTCCCTGTGGATCCCTCCCTATGCAGCTCCAGCCTGGTGGTGGCATCAGCAGTGCACCCTTGCTGACCTTAGGGTAGCCAACCCTCTTGTTTGGTTTTTTAACTTGTCCTTGACCTGGATTCCTGTGTTGTTTCCTGTTGTTGCTGCAGAAAATTATCACAAACACGGCGGCGGGAGAGAACACTTCTGTTGACAGAAATCAGACCCTGTTCTTCCTGGGCTACAATCAAGGCATCTGCAGGGCTGCATTCCCTCTGGAGACTCGGGAGAATCAGTTCCATTGACTTCTCCAGCCCCTAAAGGCCACCTGCATTCCGTGGCTTCTGGCCTTCCTCCACTTTCAAAGCCCGCAGTGGCTGGTGGACTCTCCCTCCCACTACGCTGCTCTAATCCCCACTCTCCTCTTCCTCCTCCTCTCATGTGGACCCTTGTGATTACACTGAGCCCAGTGGGAGAGTCCAGGTCGTCTCCCCATCTCAAGGTCAACTCATCAACAACCTGAACTCCATCTTCCCCTTCAGTCCCATGTCCTATAACATAAATAGTCACAGGCTCCAAGGATTACAATATAGCCATGCTGCCGACAGTTACTCTTTCCACCACAGCACCCATTCCCCTGTATTCAATCCCCATTGACACCAAATACAGTCAGGGCCTGGATGATTGGACCCTGGTGGACACCCCCACCAGATGCTCTGGGATTCAGGAAGTGGGAGAAGGAGAAGCCCAGACATGAGTCCTCTGACCTGTGACCACGATCACCAGGGGGTTGCTGGGTGCCGACCACTCAATGGGGGAGCGCGGGTGTGAACCCCGACATCTGTAGGTCCCTGCGTGTGCAGGGGTCACAGGGCCCATGAGGATGCTCTTCCAGAATATTTTGTTGTAGAGCTCAGGGACAGGCACCCCATCTTCTTTGTACAGACTGAAGATGGTAAACCCAAGACGAGAGCGACACAGAAGAGTCACATGTCCTCCTCGAGGCACCACAGCGCTGGGCCAGGCAGACAGCAAGGGCTTGTCCTGTCCACCTGGGGGAGAAGGAGGCGCCACCTTAGAAAGGAGGATGTGGAGCCGCCCCTCCCTGCCAGTGCTCAGAAGATTCTCCCCACTTTCCTCGTTTCTAAGGCTCCTACCACACTTGGGTGCCCATGGCTACGGGAAGGACCCACCCCGCATAGACTTGGCGTCTCTCTACAACAAAAGTGTCAGCTGAGAACTTTGAGCAAGTGCTGAGTAAGGGACTCCTACTAGATTTTAATACTGCAAGATTACTCACATAAAACAACACAAATAGACATGGGGTCGAGGGCATGTTCTTTGTGAATGGAATATCAGCCAATGTGTGAACCACAATACACAACTGAGCCCCCAACAGAGGATTTGGAAGGTCAGGGCCCTGGCTGGGGTTCCCCCACCTCTGAGGTAGAATGACAGCAGCCACACTGCAGCCCCTACCGTCATGGAAACGCTGGAGGGTGTGAGTTACACCTTTGTCCTCAGAGGCCTGCTGTTCCTAGCACTGCTTTGCTCCCTTCCTCTGCCAGTGACACCACATCCCAGCCGCACAGCCCAGCTTGGAGGACCCCAGTCTACCCTCCCGGGTTCCCACAGAACCTGACTCAGCCAAGGGAAAGGAAGGCTGGGGAGGGCAAGGTCGGAACTGTGGGCTGAGCACCCCAGGGTCTCCTCATCCTTGTTTATAAGAAAATCCCCCACCGGGCTTCCCTCCTGTTTCAGGAAAATCCTCTTATGTGGGGAGATGACACCCGAAGGTTTGGAGAAGGACTCACCCTCATGTGTCCAGGCCCCCTGCAGCAAGAAGAACCCTGGAAAGAAAGATCATGATGGACCATCCATCTGCAGGCAAACCAGGACTCCCTTGCTGCCCCCACTGGGCTGTGAGTCTTGGTAGCCAGGCCCTTGCTGGGCTGAAGGGAAACTCACCCTCAGTGCCAGCCTGCACCCAAGAACAGGGCTGTCGGCTGTGTAGAGACCCAGCCTGCAGGCCCATATCCGCACCCCAGGCCCCTATCCCCACCCCAAGCCCATATCTCCACTCCAGGCCCATATCTCCACTCCAGGCCAATATTTCCACCCTAGACCCATATCTCCAATCCAGGCCCATATCTCCACCCCAAGCCCATATCTCCATCCTAGGCCCATATGTCCACTCCAGGCCCAGATATCCACCTCTAGGCCCATATCTCCACCTCCAGGCCCATATCTCCACCTCCAGGCCCATGTCTCCACTCCAGGCCCATATCTCCATCCCAGGCCAATATCTTCACTCCAGGCTCCTATCTCCCCTCCGGGTTCCTATCTCCACTCCAGGCCCAGATCTCCACTCCAGGCCCATATCTCCACCTCCAGGCCCATATCTCCACTCCAGACCCAGATCTCCACTTCTAGGCCCATCACTCCATCTCCAGGCCCATATATCCACTCCAGGCCCAGATCTCCACTCCAGGCCCATAACTCCACCTCCAGGCCTATATCTCCACCTCTGGGCCCAGATCTCCATCCCCGCACTCCCTCCCTCTATTCCTTTCCAGGACTCACCAACACACGCCATGCTGATGACCATGAGCGACATGGTGCTGCCGGTGCAGACAGGCGGCCGCGCCCCAGCTCAGCTCAGCAGCGCACAGGATGTTATTTGGCGCCCTGCCCATGCAGTTTACATGTTGACCACATCACGGGAGGGTGACGTACGCAGGCTCTTTCTACCTTGCATGAGGCCCAGTGGGTGCTTGCTCAAGAGCGGAACACGGCTTCCTGGAAATTGTTCTCACTAGAATTGGCACCTCGCGTCCTTCACTATGACCAACTCACAACACGTCTCAGATCCAACCTCCCGAACACAAGATGCCTAAAATCTGTGCTAACGTGAAAGACTTTTCATGTATTTTTATTGTTTTTATCTGAGATTCAAACTCTTCTTCCTGTGTAATATGCAAAGTATCTAATAGGTATTATTAATGTTTTCGGAGTCATTGTGACTAATAAACCATTAGAATTTTTCATGCTTGTATTTCTAGTATTACAGCAGAACCAGCTAAAATGATTTAAATTCCCAGGGAAGGATTATGCAATTATTTACAATCTTAGAATTGTACTTTATCAGCAAAAACCACACCTGTAAATTCTGGAGTTTTGTAGTTTAATCTAAAATTTGTCTCATGACCCAAGATTCCAGAGTCCCAACTCTGGAGTTTGATCTCTCTCTGTCTCTCTCCCTCCCTCGTTTTAAATTTTACAGAAATATCCAGTAACATAATGCTATAGAAAATCAAGTTTTCCCCAGCACGTTGGGAAGCCGAGGTGGGCGGATCAACTGAGATAAGGAGTTTGAGAGCAGCCTGGTCAACATAGTGAAACCGTGTCTCTGCTAAAAATCCAAAAATTAGCCGTGCCTGGTGGCAGGCACCTGTAACGCCAGCTGCTCAAGAGGCTGAGGCACGAGAATCGCTTGAACCTGGGAGGTGGAGGTTGCAGTGAGCTGAGATTGTGTCACTGCAGTCCAGCCTGGGCGACAGAGCAAGACTCCGCCTCAAGAAAAAAAAAGCAAATAGCCTATAATAACAAATTAGAGGGCTCTGGCTACTAAATTTAAAGGGTTCTATAAGGCTACATAAAGTGCAGCGTCATCAAGAGTGTGGACACAGAGAGCCCCTTAGCAGAAACAGTGTCTAAAATACATCCATGTACACACAATCCCTTTAGAGTTGACAAAGGCTGCTGTGTGGTTTAAGGTGGCATAGAATGTCTTCTCAATAAATAATATTAAACCAATGGGTTACACCTAGTAAAAAATAAATCTAACTGACACTATAAAAACACTTCTTAGTTTTTATCTAGTTGTACATTTTTTATGATTTATATTTAAATTTGAGAAATAAAAGTCATATACGGTCATCCTTCACTATTCGTGGGTGATTGGTTTTGAGATCTCCACTCAGATACCAAAATCTGTAGATGCTCAAGCCTCTTATATGAAATGGCACAGCATTTGCAAATAACCTATGCACATCCTCCTGTATACATGAAATCATCTCTAGATTACCTATAATTCCTGATACAGCCTACACACAGCTTCATTTGTGTCCATTTAACATAGTTATGCTTTTTGAAACTCTGTGGATACTTTCTCTCAATATTTTTGATTTATACTTGGTTCAATAAACACCTGTAAACCCCGCAGATATGGAGGAGTGACCGTATATTTATATTATGAAAGAAGATGTGTTGATATGTGTCCCCATGGAGATGAGACTAACAAGGCCTATGACTCTACAAATGTTTCATTGTGGAATGACTCTGCCAGCTTTCCAGGTCTGCAGAGAGTAAGAGTATCACTTGTTCATGTGATTCGCGATCCTTGGAACCTCCTATGTGCTACATCTTTGGATGGAAATTGGAGTCCCAGAGACAAATGAGGCTCCACCCTGCTTCCAGAAGATCAGAGTCCAGGGATGAGAACTCAGTGGGGAACAGATGGGATTATATGGACATGGTACTGATAACACCGGAAGCCTTAGGCAAGAAAAGAGTCCCATTACCGAAACCATGGGGGCAGACATGTTTATTTGAAGGATGGAAAACTACATTGAAGTTATTTTAAAAAGTATATAAGTTTTACTGCTGACAGAAGGCTGAAAGCTAGTCTGAGGGGAGGTGGAACAGCATGAGGGAAGGTGGAACAGCACGTGTCTAAGTGCTGCGTTAAGACGGAGCCTCTTGTATGTGTGGAATTGTGAGTTCCTCAGTGTGATTGCAGCCTCAAGTAGACTAGGAAGTAAGCCAGTTAGGTTGGAGAGGTGGGCAGGGGTCAAGTGAAATGGAGAACTGTGGGCTAAGCAAAGGAGTGTGTTTTTTCTCCAGCAGGCAGTGGGGACCTTAGACATTTGTAAGCAAGTGAGAGGCACATTCAGATTTGTGGTGTGAGGAAGAGCGATGCCCTAAGATGAAGACTGATGCCTTCAGATTCCAGCTGCTGGTACATGGGAGCTGGCAACCCAGTTTTGAGACAGGGCTGTTGTCTCCCTAGAAGATCCCCTCAAGGCCTGACTGTGGTGCTCGTGGACAGAAGACAACTTTGGATCTGGGCTCAGCATTTGGAAGTTCTATGTACATGCTGGTATCTGTTGGGGGTGTCTTGGGCCTCTGAGAAGGGCGAGTGATTTTTCTCTGTGTGAAAACACAGTGTTCCAATTATGCGTATGACACCTCCTGATGGTCTTGTTCATCAGAATCCTGGAGAGAGGGAAATGCTGAGTGAGGGAGGGTGCTCACATTTTTCAGGACTCTTTGGGAATAACACTAGCCACGAGGCTGGGCCGAGGAGCACCTACCTCGCTGTTCACTTCTGTTCCCTGCAGGCTCTTGGTCCATTACAGCAGCATCTGTAGAAGACGGAAGTCAACAAAAGAGCTCGGAGGGCACTTCTGGGTCCTCATTTCATAAGCAGATACCAACAAACAGGGGGAGGCCATAGGTGCCTGAGGTCCCTCAGTTGCCAACAGCAGACTCAGACATTCTATCTCTCTGAGTTCAAGGACCCATCCCATGAATAGCTCTGAGGTCCCATTCCATTGATTCTATCTCCCACTTTCTGCCTGTCATGGAACCTTCTCCTGGATGTGAGTGGCTGCAGGGGACGTGAGGATACAGTTCAGAATCAGGCAATGGTCTGTGAGCTGAAGGCAGGGGAAGGGAATCTGGTGCTCTCTCTAGAAAGTCCTGCCTCTGTGGCTCCTGTCTTGGGCCAGGGACCATCCTGCTGGTGAGGAACACACACCCGTGTGCTCCCATCCTGCTTCCCCACATGGCCCTGAGCTCTCTGGCCTCTGCTTCGTGAGACTTACTTTTTTTTGTTGGAGCACCAGCGATGAAGGAGAAAGAAGAGGAGGATGGTGAAAGGGATTTTGACCACTGAGGTCCCAATCAGAATGTGCAGGTGTCTGAGGTTACCTGGAAGAAGAGGAGACACCAATAAGAAGCTAATCATAGCAGTTCCTCTTTATGAATTGTCTTGCATTTCTTGATTCACAGGTAACCACATACAGCGTCTCTTTAGGACAAGCACCCAGATGGCGGGAGACCCAGCTTCCTCCTGCTTTCTCAGTTATAGCTCTCATAGTAACCATAGAACGTGCTGAGGATACCACTACTTTAGTTGAGATGTTTGACCCCTTCAAACCTCAGATTGAAATTTACCCCCCAGTGTGGGAGGGTGGGCCTCTTGGGAGGTGTTTGAGTCATGGGGGTGGATACATCATGAACAGATCAATGCTGTTTTAAGGAGACGGGGTTAGCAAGTTCTCCCTCTATTAGTTCCTGGAGAGCTGGTTGTTCATAAGAGCTTGGAAGCTCCATCACTCCCCCTCTCCCTTGCTCCCTCTCTTGCCGTGTGATCTCTGTGGTCTCTGCACAGACAGACCCTCCTTCCCTTCTGCCAGAGTGGGAGCAGCCTGAGGCAGTCACAAGAAATAGATGCTGGTGCCATGCTTCCAGTACAGCCTGCGGAACTGTAAGGCAAACCAAAATCTTTTGTTTAGAAGTTACCCAGGCTCAAGTGTTCCTTTAGAGCAACAAAAATGGACTAAGACAGCAACTTCCTGAGATCAGGAGGAAAGTCCCAGAACAGCCTGGGCTGTCTTCCTGTTCTTCCTGGAGGAGGACGTGATGCAGTGCTTTAGCTGAGTGCTTCCTGTGGCTCCAGGGTACAAAACCCAGGTTGGGCTGCTTTCTGGCTTCCCCCAGCTACACTGCAAATGGGGTGACTCCACATGTCTCGAGCAGCTTTTCTGAGCCTTGGGGAACTGGCTCACATTGAAATGTAGGCTTCTGTTGTCACTCGCTGCTTATCTGTTAGTAATGAACCTGCCTGTGTAATGTGTTCTCTGTGTGTTCTGTCTCCCTGGAGTGACGGTGAGTGATAGGAATTGGCATAGGCCCAGGTGCAGTCCAGGAGGTGTTTAGAGTCTTCTCTGGGAAGACTGGACTGGGATTGATACACAGCGAATGTGCTTTAGGATTTCTACATCCACGGCATTCTTGAGTTAAACAACTTGCATTCTCCAAGAAAAGGAAACAAAAGTGAAATCAAGATCAAAAATGCGAAGTAGAATTCTCTTATGTCAAACAGCCAGAAAATAGTGTTGAAGCCCGTGTGAAATGTGCTATTCTTTGTGATCTCGGGAGACACATGTTAGGCTGCTGTTCTACCTGACAGGCTGGGGGAAGGACCACCCCCTCGACTATCTATTGCTTCAATACCACCTGTCCTCCTGTGAATTAGTAGGAAAGGGGAGCAGGAGCTAGTGCTGGCACTGATCTCTGATTCCAAGATCTGGACTCACTCCAAGGAGTATTAGCATTTACCTCCCCATGGTCTATCTGTATCTGCACAGGTGATTGGAAGTAGGGGTGAGGTGGGGGATTTGGGTGAGGGGGCAAGTTTTTTTTGTGATGACCAGAGCACTTTCTCTATTCCAGGATTTGTGCTGGAGGATTCAGCGGGCTTTCACATTTTCTATATGATCTCATGCTCACAGAAAGCCAAATACGGAAGAGGTTTTAGGCTGATTGTCTAATGGATAAGATAAAGAATCAAAGAAGTAATTATAGAGAAATAGAAAAATGATGATGGGAATTCAGGTGCCTTTGTCGTTCGTGTGTGTTTTATTATATTTATGCATTTCTTATTTTTATTTTTTGAGACGGAGTCTCCTTGTGTCACCCAGGCTGGAGTGCAGTGATGCGATCTCCACTCACTGCAACCTCCACCTCCTGGGTTGAAGTCATTCTCCTGCTTCATCCTCCAGAGCAGGAGCTGGGATCACAGGGATGCACCACCATGCTCGGCTAATTTTTGTATTTTTAGGAGAGATAGGGTTTCACCATGTAGAGATAGGGTTTCACCATGTTGGCCAGGCTGGTCTCGAACTCCTGATTTCTTGGAATCCACTGGCCTTAGCCTCCTGCAGTGCTGGGTTACAGGAGTGAGCCACCGTTCACAGACTTGTATACTATGCTATAATAGGTCCCTTCATTTCCACCACCCCTCATATATCTGTCACTCCTTTGCCAGGTATTGATTTATGTGTAGGAGGAATAAATCTCAGAAAGAAATTAATTTAGCAAGGATTAAACAACTAGGAAACTCAAACCCAGCAAGCCCTCCCTGCAAATGATTCTACCTCCCAAGCATAGCTTATATCCATCTGCTTCATCCACTTAGGGTCTAAATCAGCACCACATTTCACCAGTGGGGTGGCAATTGCCTTTTCCACAGTCTCCTAGATTCCAGTTACGCACCTGGGCCTCCTTTATTTTCATGTCAGTCATATTAATCATGTAGGGATTCCTGGTTACCCCGAGGTGAATCCAATGGCTGTGAGTGTCAAACACACACTCCTTGTTGCTCCTTAGTTTCCTGTGTACCCAGTGTGCTCTCCGTCTCTCTACAGTCGTCTTGTCATTCTCCCCACTTCATTCCCAGCATTTGAGGCAGAGCCTCTTCCTTCAACATCAGATTGTTTTCACCTTTGTGCCTTCACAGCTGACAGCTGTGTGGAAAATCCTTCCGCCAATCTTTCAGGGGTTCAATCCGTGTTTTTCATTAATGTCACAAATATCTGATTAGTGAGACCTTCTCTGTCACCCAAAATTATACACTCAGCATTATCTATTATTGATTTTGAATTCTGGCTGGGCAAAGTGGCTCACGCCTGTAATCCCAGTACTTTGGGTTGCTGAGATGGTCGGATCACTTGAGGTTGGGAGTTTCAGACAAGCTTGGCCAACATGGTGAAACATCCTCTCTACAAAAAATATACAAAAAGAGTTAGCCGGGCATGGTGGCAGTTGCCTGTAATCCCAGCTACTCGAGAGGGTGAGGCAGGAGAATCACTTGGATCCAGGAGACGCAGGTTGCAGTGAGCCAAGATCGTGACACTGCACTGTAGCCTGGAAGACAGAGGGAGACTCTGTCTCAATAAATAAATGAACGAACAAACAAATAGATTTCATGCACAGATGCTTCCCAATGGATCATTCATTTATTGGTCCACTTGTGCATTCATTTTCTGCCCTCCCATTTAACCATCTGCAATATCAGTGTCCCAAGAGCAGAGGCCAAATGCATCTTGTTCACCGTTCGTGGAAGGCAGGAGAATGCTGTCCCACCCCAAAATGTCCCTGTCCTGGCCTCCATAGCTTGTGAATATGTTATTTTACATGGAAAGGAGGAATGAAGATTGCAGATGGAATTACGGTTGCTAGTCAGCTGAACTTAAAACAAGGGTATCCTGAATGATTTCCGGGAGATTATGATGGATTTTCATCTTGGTGAACCCAATAGAATCCCCAAGTTTTCAAAAGATAAGGAAGAAGGGAGAGCAGCATTCAGAGAAAGAGGTGTGGTAAGGAAGAAGGGTCTGAGTGATGCCATGTGAGATGTGACCAGTCTTTGTGGGCTTTGAGGAAGGAGGAAGGGGACCAGGAGCCAAGGAACTGGGAGCCTTTAGAAGCTGGGACAAGTGAGAAGCAGATTCTTGCCTGGAACCCTCAGAGGGAAGGCAGCCTTGCTGTCACCTTGTTTTTAGCCCAGTGAGATGCACTTCATACTTTGAGCTACAGCACTGTAAGATAATTAAAAAGCCGCTTTATTTTCACCCACGAATCTTGTGGAAATTTGTTATGGCAACAATAGGAAAGGATTCCAACTGCACAGCCTGAGCATGGGGCCGTGGCTGAATGAGTCAGTGAGTCGAAGTGTGCGTGCATGAGCTCTGTTCTCTGTTACGGCAAGGCTCTTGCTCTGCTGAGTCAGCCAGGGTTGCTTCATGACCAACAGTAATTCATTCCTTGGCAAGTGGAACTTCTCTAAAACACCCACCCTCATGAGATGTTCCCTTCCCTTCCCTCTCTCAAGTCCCCAGGAATTTATCCTCCAGTTAGGAATGCAGGCAGAAAAAACACTGCATTTTTCCTGAGAAGGATGTCAGATTGGCAATCATTCTTCTAGCTTGTAGGAGGTCTCACCTGCAGGACATTAAAGGTTAAGAGACTTCGCTGAGCCCTTTGGTGGCCCTAGATCCCTTTCACTGTTGGAGTGTCTGGAGTTCAGAGATGGTGGAAGACAGGCCCTCATTCACAGAGCTGGGAGGTTTGAGCCAACGCTTGCATCCAAGGCTTCCACCTCCCCAGGTTTCCAAAAGCAGAGATAAGAGGGGTCCTTTACTCACCAGATTTGGAGCTTGGTTCTGTGGGTGAAGGCCAACTACTTGAAGGGTTTCCTAGAACATGGGACAGGAGAGATGTGAGGAAATGAGGGTGCTTGTCCTCTACTCAATGGAAATCTTTGAGGTTGGTTCATGGCCAACACTCTGTTATCTAATGTTGGACCCTGGGAGTCTTGGGATCCTCTTCTCCATAATTTTTGTGTGCGATGCCCACTGTCTTGAGACTTGAAGGTATAAAGAGAAAACAGGAGCATCACACTACCTGACTTAGAAATATGTTACAGAGCTGTAGTAAGCAAAACAGCATGACATTGGCATAAAGAAAGGCACATAAAAAATGGAACAGAATGGAGAACACGGATATGATCCATGCATTTACACCCAATGGCTTTTTTTTGTGTGTGTGTGATGGAATCTTGCTCTGTCATGCAGGCTGGAGTGCAGAGGTGCAATCTCAGCTCAATGCAACCTCCACTTCCTGGATTCAAGCAATTCTCTTGCCTCAAACACCCGAGTAGTGGTATTACAGGCACTGGTCACCATGCTCAGCTAATTTTTGTATTTTTAGTAGAGACGAGGTTTCACTCTGTTGGCCAGCCTGGTCTTGAACTCCTGGCTTCAGGTGATCCACCCGCCTCGGCCTCCCAAAGTGCTGGAATTGCAGGTGTGAGCCACCATACCCAGCCCATTTAATGGACTTTGACAAAGGTGCCAAGAACTCACAATCAGGAAAGGACAGTCTTTTCAATAAATGGTGTGGGGAAAACTGGATATCTACATGCAGAGGAATAAAACTGCATCTATACCTGTCACCATAAACAAAAATCAAATGAAAATGGATTAAAAACATGAGTCTAAGGCCTGAACCTATGAAACATGTAGAAGAAAATAATGGGGAAGACATTTGTCTGACGAAAGACATTTTGTTTAAAACCTTCAAAACACAAGTAATCAAAGCAAAAAATAGACCATTAGGATTACATCAAACCAAGCAACTTCTGCACCACAAAAGATAAACCAAGAAAGTGAAGAGACAACCCACAAAATAGGAGCAAATATTTGCAAACTATTCATCTGAGACGGGATTAATAACTGGAAATATAAGAAGCTCAAACAACTCAATAAAACAATTTAATTAAAAAACGAGCAAAAGACATGAGGAGACATTTCTCCACAAACAAAACATAGAAATGGCGATCACGTATATGAAAAAGTACTCGGCATCACTCATCATCAGAGAAATGTAAATTACAATCGCGATGAGTTTTCATCTCATCCCATTAAAATGCCTTTTAGGCCGGTGGCTCACGCCTGTAATTCCGGCACTTCAGGAAGCGGAGGTGGGCGGATCACCTGAGGTCGGGAGACCAGCCTGACCATCATGGAGAAACTCCCTCTCTACTAAACATACAAAAATTAGCTAGGCGTGGTGGCACACGCCTGTAATCCCAGCTACTTTGGAGGCTGAGGCAGGAGAATCAGTTGAACGCGGGAGGCGGAGGTTGCAGTGAGCTGAGATCACACCCTTGCACTCCAGCCTGGGCGACTATGAGTGAAACTCCATCTCAACATAAATAAATAAATAAAATAAAGTAAAGTAAAATGGCTTTTATCTGCAAGACAGGCAAAACAAATGCTGGCAAGATGGTAGAGAAAGGAGAACCCTGGTACCCTGTTGGTAGGAATGTAAATTAGTACAACTATTATGGAGAAAAGTATGGAAATTCTTTAAAAAACTAAAAGGAGGCTGGGCATAGTGGCTTATGCCTGTAATTTCAGCACTTTGGGAAACCGAGGCAGGCACCTCACTTGAGGTCAGGAGTTTGAGAGCAGCCTGCCCAAAATTGGGATATCCCGTCTGTGCTAAAAAAATACAAAAATTAGCCAGGCATGGTGGCATGCACCTGTAATCACAGCTACTAGGGAGGCTGAGTCAGGACAATCATTTGAACCTAGGAGGCACAGGTTGCAATGAGCCAAGATCTCACCACTTAGACTCCAGCTTGGACTAAGGAGGGAAACTCTTTCTCAAAAAAGAAAAAAAAAAAAAAGAGAACTTTCATAGTATCCAGCAATTTCACTACTGGGTTTATATCCAAAGGAAAGGACATCAGTGTATCGAAGTGATATCTGCACTCATATGACTGTTCCAGCACTGTTCACAGTAGCCAAGATGTGGAGTCAACCTACCTGCCTATCAGTGGGTGAATGGATAGAGAACTGTGGTACACACACACAGTGGAGACTACTCATCCATAGAAACAATAACATCCTGTCATTTGCAGCCACATGGATGGAACTGGAGGTCATTACAAAGATTCCCATTTCTCACCCACATGCAGGAGATAAAAGGTGGATCTCATGAAGGTGGAGAATACAATGGTGGACACCAGAGGCCAGGAAGGGAAGGGTGGAGGGTAACAAAAAAAAGAATATAGATGTATTTATTTATTTAGAAACAGAGTCTCTCTCTGTCTCCCAGGCTGCAGTGCAGTGGCATGATCTCGGCTCAGTGCAACCTCGGCCTCCTGGCTTTAAGTGCTTCTCCTGCCTCAGCCTCCCAAGTAGCTAGGACTACAGGTGCATGCCAGCATGCTCGGCTAATTTTTCTTGTCTGTTTAGTAAAGATGAATTTCCCACATGTTGGCCAGGGTGATCTCGAGTTCCTGATCTTAAATGATCCACCTTCCTTGGCCTCTCAAAGCGCCGAGATTACAACTGTGAACCACCACGCCCAGCATATAAAGGTATTTATGACCACTAGATTTTACTTTTAAAAATGGTAAAGGTGGTAAATTATATAGTTACATTTAACCTCAATAAATATTTTTGAAAATGAAAAGAAAAGGGTGTAGGGGTTGCTGGTGATGATATCTCTCTGTGTGGGTGAGAGGCCATGATGGGCTTCTGGGAAATGGGTAAGATTGAGGGGCTGAGGGAACCTCTGATCTCCCCAAACTAAGCCCAGTCTCCCCTTCTCTGGGTCTGTCCTGACCGCTTTCTCCATCTGCCTGGGTGCCTGGAGCCCTGATCGGAGGCCTCCATGCAGGCCATGAAGGAGGGTTTGGAGGTGCCCTGTCTGCCATCCTGCGCCCTGACTCCGCCCTCACACCTGCTGTGTCTTCTCTCTGCATCTGTCCATGCTTTTCTCCATCATCAGCAGGAAGCTCCTTAGCTAAGGATTTAGGATCATAGGACATGAGAGAGATATGGGCTTTTCTCACCTGTGACAGAAACAAGCAGTGGGTCACTCGGGTCTGACCACTCGTAGGGAGAGTGACGGAAAGAGCCGAAGCATCTGTAGGTCCCTCCGTGGGTGGCAGGGCCCAGAGGGAAATCTGCCTGGAATGTTCTGTTGACCTTGCGCACTGCAGGGAGCCTACGTTCATGGGCTCCCCCCTCCCTGGATAGATGGTACATGTCATAGGAGCTCCGGGAGCTACAGGACAAGGTCACGCTCTCTCCTGCCTGAACCTTGGGGCCCGGCTGGGCTGAGAGAGAAGGTTTCTCATATAGACCTGGAAGGAGAAGAGGCAGTTTCCTCAGGGAGGTTCTTCCTTGTCACAGCTCCCCTCACACCTGAGCTGAGAACTCACTCCCCTGCTCTATGACCTAATGCTCTCTCTCTCTCTCTCACTCTCCACCCCATCTCTCTTCATATCTGTTTCCTCCTTCTACCTTTTCTGTCTCTCTAGGTCTATGACCTCACTTCCCCACCCTGAGGTATGTTTTCCCTTTTTGGATTGTTTTATTCTCTCTGACCCTCCTTGGATTGGTTGACTTGATCTTCCTTTTTCTTTAATTTTGAGTCTCTCACTTTCTGTCTTGTTCATAACTTTCTGCACATTTCTATCTATTATCTATCGATCTATCTATTTATCTATTTTGTGTCTATCTACAAATTATCTATCATCTATATTTATGTATCACTTATCTATCTCTCTATCAATTGTCTATCTGTCTATCTATCCATCAATCATCTATTATCTATATATGTATCATCTATCTCTCTCTCTATTACCTCTCTGTCTGCCTCTCTGTCTCTATTTATGTATCATCTATGTATATATCTATGTGTCTATCATCATCATCGTCATCATCATCATCTCTATGTATCATCTATCAGTCATCATCTATGTATCTATAACCAATCCATTATCTATCATCTACCTATTTATCATCTATCTACGTCTATCTATCCATCTATCATCTCTCTCTCTCCGTCTCCTTGTCTTTCTCTGCCTCTCAGTCTCTCTAGTTCTATTTGGAATCTCTGCAATCCATCCCCACATCTTTATCTTTCTCTGTCTTTGTGTCCCTCCCTCAGGGTTCTGATTTTGGGGCTTTTCTCTCCTCCTTTCCATCATTCTCTCCACTCTGCCCTCTTTTCTTTCTTTTTATGTGTCTGTGAATCTCTTAATCTCCTTCTTCTGGCTCATTTTGTGTGTGTTTATGTCTTTGCTTTTTGGTGTCCCTGATTTTTCTCTGTGTCTCTCAGCGATCCTATCATATGTGGGATTATTTGGAATATGAGCCTCAGAATCCAGTCTGGGGACCCCAAGTTCACACAGCATACAGGGGTTGGTGTTCTGGGGCCATGATATCCTGGGATGATTACTCTCCATTGCATGGAAGGCAGAGGTGTCAGAATAAACACGGCATCTGTAGGTGGCACAAGGCCTGAGGCCACAGGGCCCAACTCAGGTCAGAAATATGGGTGTCCTTGGGTTCTTCTGGTAGAAACACTTTGTGGAGGTAAAACAGAAATGAAACTTCTAACCTGTGCCAGGTCTCTGAGCAAAGTCAGCATGGAAGGACACCTCTCTCTGGGACATGTCTGTCTGTCTGAGTGTCTCCTTTACCTCTTTCTCTCTTTTCTACCTCCCTGTATGGCCCCTGTGTCTGTCCCCTGTTATGACACCTGTTCTGTACTTATGTCTCCTGTTTCTCTGTCTCTGTTGGTACAGACCTCACCAAGTCACTCTCTTTCCATAAGAATCCCACACTTATCTTCCTCATGACCACCTGGGGGTTCCAAGTCCTGGATCATTCACTCTGTGTCCCAGTGACAATGAGAACAATGTCTAGACACTCTCACCTGTGACCACGATGTCCAGGGGATCACTGGGAGCTGACAACTGATAGGGGGTGTGAGTAACAGAACCGTAGCATCTGTAGGTCCCTGCAAGGGCACGCATCATGGAACCGATGGAGAAATTGGCCTTGGAGACCCCATCATGGATCTGTCCAACGAGGCGTGAGGGGTCCTTAGAGATCCACTCTTTGTGCAGAAAGAAGTGCTCAAACATGATATCTGACCAACATTGCAGGATGACTCTCTCTCCTGATTTCACCAGGGGACCTGGGTGGGCCAGGAGGGAAGGTTTTCTGTGGTTTCCTAGAAAGAGAAGTTGTGAGTTTAGAAGGCATCTCTCTTTATCATCCCATCCATGGCACCTGGAATGAGTGAGGGTTCCCCTCCCCGTGTCTGTCTCTCTCCTCCCTCTCTGCATCTCCGTGTCTTTTCTGTGCCCATATCCCCTGGTGCAGGTGCCTCCATCTGTCTTCCTCCCTCTTCTCTGTCCCTCTGTCTCCAGTAGCCCCTGACTCCCTTGCCACTGTGAAGACAGCCTCATCTCTTGGGCTGTTGTATCTGTTTCCCACTAATCTCTTTCCTGCTGTTTATATGGGGGTGGAAGAGGACAGGCTGCATGTCCAGGCTCTTAGCAGCCTGAATCAATCTCTTTTGAACAAATTGGAGTCTCTGGCAGGTGGTATCAACTCATCAGTAAGACAGACATCAGTGACCACACACCCTGTTCCTGATGGGGATTGGGAGCCTCTCCTGCCATGTCTGTGCCTTCTCCATGGCCCCAGCTTCCATAGGGTGGCCCCTGGTGCTGGTTCCAGGAGCATCAACCCCTTCCTATGTGGATGGAGCCTGGTGGTAACATCAGCATCCTGCCCTTGCTGATCTCAGGGTAGCCAACCTTCTCCTTGTTTGGTTTCTTTAATTAATTGATTAATTAATTTATTTTTGAGACAGTCACTTTTTCACCCAGGCTGGAGTGTAGTGGTGTTGTCTTGGCTCACTGAAACCTCTGCCTCCCCAGTTCAAGTGATTCTCTTGCCTCAGCCTCCCCAGTCGTTGGATTACTCGCGCCCACCACCACACCTGGCTGTCCTTGTTTGGTTTCCTAACTTGTCCTTGACCTGGGTTCCTAACTTGTCCTTGACCTGGGTTCCTGTGTTGGTTTCCTGTTGCTGCTGCAGAAAATTACCACAAACATGGCAGCAGGAGAGAACACACTGACCCCTTCCACTTCTGGAGACAGAAATTGGATCCAGTTCTCCCTGTGCTGAAATCAAGGCGTCTACAGGGCTGCGTTCCCTCTGGAGAATCAGCGAATCAGTTCTCCTGACTTCTCCAGCCCTTAGAGGCCACCTGCATTCTGTGACTAGTGGTCTTCCTCCACTTTCAAAGCCCGCAGTGGCTGATAGCGTCTCCCTCCCACTACACTGCTCTAATCCCCACTCCCCTCTTCCTCCACCTCTCACGCGGACCCTTGTGATTACACTGAGCCCAGTGGGACAGTCCAGGCTGTCTCCCCATCTCAAGGTCAACTCATCAACAACCTGAGCTCCACCTTCCCCTTCAGTCCCCTGCCCTATAACATAAATAGTCACAGGCTCCAGGGATTACAATGTAGCCATCATTGGGGACAGTTATTCTTCCCACCACAGCACCCATTTGCCCTGTATTCAATCTCCCTTGACCCCAAATACAGCCAGGGCCTGGGTGATGGGACCCTGACGGACAGCCCCACCAGAAGCTCTGGGATTCAGGAGGTGGGACAGTGAGAAGCCCAGACGGAAAGCCTCTGACCTGTGACCATGATCACCATGGGGTTGCTGGGTGCCGACCACCCAGTGGGGGAGTGTGGGTGTGAACCCCGACATGTGTAGTTCCCTGCATGTGCTGTGGTCACAGGGCTCATGTTGAAGCCCTCCTGGAATATTCTGCCATGGAAGATGGGAACGTGGATTCTGTCTTCTTTGTATAGCATGAAATTGTTAAACCTATGACGATAGTGACACCGAAGAGTCACGTGTCCTCCGCGAGGCACCACAGCGCTGGGCCAGGCAGACAGGAAGGGCTTGTCCTGACCACCTGGGGGAGAAGGAGGCACTGCCTTAGAGAGGAGGATGTGGAGCCGCCCCTCACTCCCAGTGCCCAGAAGATTCTCCCCATTTCCACTTTCTAAGGCTCCTACCACACCTGGGTGCCCAGGGCTACAGGAAGGACCCATCCTGCATAGACATGGCGTCTCCCTACAACAAGTGTCAGCTGAGAACTTTGAGCAAGTGCTGGAGAAGCAACTCTTACTAGATTTTAATACTGCAAAATTACTCATATAAAACAATACAAAGTAGACACGGCATGGAGGGCAAGTCCTATGTGAATGGAATATCAGCCAATTGATGAACTGAGCCCCCATCAGAGGATTTGGAATGTCAGGGCCATGGCTGTGGTTTCCTCACCTTTTCTGGTAGAAAGACCGCAGCCACACTGCAGCCCCTACCATCACGGAAACGCTGGAGGGTGTGAGTTACACCTTTGTCCTCAGAGGACCTGCTGTTCCTAGCACTGCTTCCCTCTCTTTCTCTGCTGCTGACACCACTTCCTCCCTGCACACCCATCTTGGAGCACCCTAGTCTCACCCCAGTCTTCACAGAGCTTGACTCAGGAAAGGGAAAGAAAGGCCGGGGAGGGCAAGGTCAGAAATGTGGGCCGAGCATCCGAGGGTCCCCTCTTCCTAGTGTATGAGAGACTCCCCGACAGGACTTCCCTCCCATTTCAGGAAAATCCTCTTATGTGGGGAGATGACACCCTAAGGTTTGGGGAAGGACTCACCCATGTGTGGACCGGCCCTCTGGACCAAGAACAACCCTAGAAAGAAAGATCATGATGGACCATCCATCTGCAGGCAAACCAGGGCACCCTGCTGCCCCCCACTGGGTTGTGCGTCTTGGCAGCCAGGCCCTTGCTGGGCTGAAGGTAAACTCACCCTCGCTGCCTACCTGCCCCCAGGAACAAGGATCTCGGCTGTGCAGAGACTCAGCCTCCAGGCCCAGATCTCTACCTCCAGGCCTAGATCTACACAACAGGCCCAGATCTCCACTCCAGGTCCGTATCTCCACTCCAGACCCATATCTCCTCTCCAGGCTGATAAGTCCACTCCAGGCCCATATCTCCACTCCAGGCTCCTATCTCAACTCCAGGCTCATATATCCACTCCAGGCTCATATCTCCACTCCAGGCCCATATTTCCACTCCAGGCTTCTATCTCCTCTCCAGGCCCATATCTCCTTTCCAGGCTTGTATGTCTGCTCCAGGCCCGTATCTCCACCCCAGGCCCATATCTCCACTCCAGGATCATATCTCCACTCCAGGCCCAGATCTCCACTTCATGCCCTTAACTCCACCTCCGGGCCCATAACTCCACCTCTAGGCCCATATCTCCACTCCAGGCCCATATCTCCACTTCAGGCCCATATCTCTACTGCAGGCCCATAACTCCACCTCCAGGCCCATATCTCCACTCCAGGCCCATCGCTCCACTTCTAGGCCCATCACTCCACCTCTAGGCCCACATCTCCCCTCCAGGCCCATATCTCCCCTCCAGGCCCATATCTCCACCCCAGGCACATATCTCCACCCCAGGCCCATATCTCCACTCCAGGCCCAGATCTCCACTCCAGGCACATATCTCCACCCCAGGCCCCTATCTCCACTCCAGGCCCAGATCTCCACTCCAGGCCCAGATCTCCACTTCAGGCCCATAACTCCACCTCCAGGCCCATAACTCCACCTCTAGGCCCATATCTTTACCTCCAGGTCCAGATCTCCATCCCCGCACTCCCTCCCTCGATTCCCTTCCAGGACTCACCAACACACGCCATGCTGACGACCATGAGCAACATGGTGCTGCCGGTGCAGACAGGCGGCTGCGCCCCAGCTCAGCTCAGCAGCGCACAGGATGTTATTTGGCGCCCTGCCCATGCAGTTTACATGTTGACCACATCATGGGAGGGTGACGTACGCAGGCTCTTTCTACCTTGCATGAGGCCCAGTGGGTGCTCGCTCAAGAGCGGAGCATGGCTTCCTGGAAATTGCTCTCACTAGAATTGACACCTCGCGTCCTTCACTATGACCAACTCAAAACACGTCTCAGATCCAACCTCCTGAACACGAGATGCCTAAAATCTGTGCTAACATGAAAGACTTTTCATGTATTTTTATTGCTTTTATCTGAGATTCAAACTCTTCTTCCTGTGTAATATGCAAAATATCTAATAGGTATTATTAAGGTTTTCAGAGCAATTGTGACTAATAAACCATTAGAATTTTTCATGATTGTATTTCTAGTATTACAGCAGAACCAGTTCAAATGATTTAAACTCCCAGGGAAGGATTATGCAATTATTTACAATCTTAGAATTGTACTTTATCAGCAAAAATCACAACATGTAAATTCTGGATTTTTGTAGATTTATCTAGAATTTGTCTCATGTCCCAAGATTCCAGAGTTCCAACTCATGGTTTGCTCTCTCTCTGTCTCTCTGCCTCCCTCATTTTAAATTTTACAGAAATATCCAGTAACATAATGCTATAGAAAATCAATTTCCCCAGCACTTTGGAAGCCGAGGTGAGTGATCAACCGAGGTCAGGAGTTTGAGACCAGCCTGGCCAATATAGTGAAACCATGTCTCTGCTAAAAATACAAAAATTAGCCATGCCTGGTAGCAGGCACTTGTAATGCCAGCTATTCAAGAGGCTGAGGCACGGAATCCCTTGAACCTGGGAGGCAGAAGTTGCAGTGAGCCGAGATCGTGCCACTGCACTCCAGCCTGGGCAACAGAGCGAGACTCTGCCTCAAGAAAAATAAAAAAAGCATAGCAAATAGCCTATAATAAATAACTAGAGGACTCCAGCTACCAAATTTTAGGGGTTGTATAAGGCTGCATAAAATGCAGCATTCTCAAGAGAGTGGACAGAGAGAGAGCCACTGAGCAGAAAACAGTGTCTAAAATACATCCGTGTACACACAGTCCCTTTATAGTTGACAAAGGCTGCCATGTGGTTTAAGGTGGAATAGAATGTCTTCTCAATAAATAACATGGGCCCAAGGGTTACACATGGAGAAAAATATATCTAAAAGTATTCTCACACTATAAAACACTTGTTTATTTTATCTTGTTATTGTAATTTTTTTATGTTTTATATTTAAAATTGAGAAATAAAAATTATATACAGTCATCCCTCATTATTCGTGGGTGATTGGTCTCAGGATCTCCACTCAGATAGCACAATCTGCAGATGCTCAAGCCTCTTACATGAAATGGCACAGCATTTGCAAATAACCCATGCACATCCTCCTGTGTACATGAAATCATCCCTTGATTATTTATAATTCCTGATACAGCCTACACACAGCTTCATTTGTGTCCATTCAACATAGTTTTGCTTTTTGAAACTTTGTGGATTTTTTCTCTGAATATTTTTGATTTATATTTGGTTCAATAAACACCTGTAAATCCCACAGATACAGAGGACCGACTGTATATTTATAGTATGAAAGATGATGTGTTGATATGTGTCCCCGTGGAGATGAGACTAACAAGGCCTATGACTCTACAAATGTTTCATCATGGAATGACTCTGCCAGCTTTCCAGGTCTGCAGAGAGTAAGAATATCACTTGTTCATGTGATTCACGATCCTTGGAACCTCTTATGTGCTGCATCTTTGGATGGAAATTGGAGTCTCAGAGACAAATGAGGCTCCACCCTGCTTCCAGAAGCTCAGAGTCCAGGGGTGAGAACCCAGTGGAGAACAGTTGGAGTTATTTGGACATGGTAATGATAACACTGGAAACTTTCAGCCAAAAAAAGAGTCACCTAAAGAATGAAGGCAGACATGTTTATTTGAAGAGGAGAGAACTACACTGAAATCAAAAAAATTTTATAAGGTTTGCTGATGCCAGAAGGCTGAAAAATAGTCTGAGGAAAGGTGGAACAGCACGAGGGAAGGTGGAACAGCACGTGTCTAAGTGCCGTGTTAAGAGAGAGCCTCTTGTATGTTTGGAATTGTGAGTTCCTCAGTGTGATTGCAGCCTCAAGTAGACTAGGAAGTAAGCCAGTTAGGTTGGAGAGGTGGGCAGGGGTCAAGTGAAATAGAGAATTGTGGGCTAAGCAAAGGAGTGTGTTTTCTCTGCAGCAGGCAGTGGGGACCTTAGACATTGGTAAGCAAGAGACAGGCACCAGATTTGTGGTGTGAGGAAGAGTGATGCTCTAAGATGGAGACTCACGCCTTCAGATTCCAGCTGCTGGTACATTAGAGCTGGCAAGCTGGGTTTGAGACAGGGCTGTTGTCTCCCTAGAAGATCCCATCAAGGCCTGACTGTGGTGCTCATGGGCAGGAGACAACGCTCTGGGCTCAGCATTTGGAAGTTCTATACACACGCTGGTATCTGTTGAGGGTCTCTTGCTCCTCTGAGAAGGGCCAGTGATTTTTCTCTGTGTGAAAATGCAGTGATCCAACTGTGCGTATGTCACCTCCTGAGGGTCTTGTTCATCAGAGTCCTGGAGAGAGGGAAATCCTGAGTGAGGGAGGGTGTTCACATTTTTCAGGACTATTAGGGAATAAGACTGTATCCATGAGGCTGGGCTAGGAGGACCTACCTCCCTGTTCACTGTTCTGTGTCCCGCAGGCTCTTGGTTCATTACAGCAGCATCTGTAGGAGACGGAAGCAATCGAAACAGCTGGGAGGGCACTTCTGGGTCCTCATTTCATGAACAGATACCAACACACAGGGGGAGGCCATAGGTGCCTGAGGTCCCTCAGCTGCCAACAGCCAGACTCAGACATTCCATCTCTCTGAGTGCAAGACCCCATTCCATGAATAGCTGTCAGTTCCCATCCCATTGATTCTATCTCCCACTTTCTGCCTGTCATGGAATCTTCTCCTGGATGTGAGTGGCTGCAGGGGACGTGAGGATACAGTTCACAATCAGGCAATGGTCTGTGAGCTGAAGGCAGGGGCAGGTTGTCTGGTGCTCTCTCTAGAAAGCTCTGCCTCTGGCTCCTGCCTTGGGCCAGAGACTTTCCTGCCAGTGAGGAACACACACCTGCGTGCTCCCATCCTGCTTCCGCACAGGGCCCTGAGTTCTCTGGCCTCTGCTTCGTGAGGCTTACTTTTTTTTTTGGAGCACCAGCGATGAAGGAGAAAGAAGGGAAGGATGGTGAAGAGGATGATGGCCACTGAGTACCTAATCACAGCATGCAGGTGTCTGGCGATACCTGGAGGAAGATGAGAATCCAATAAGAAGCTAACCATAGCAGTTCCTCTTTGTGGATTGTCTCTCATTTCTTGGTTGCCAGGCAACCACATAAAACACCTCTTTAGGACAAGCACCCACGAGGCGGGAGACCCAGCTTTCTCCTGCTTTCTCCGTTATAGTTTTCATAATAACAATAGAATGTGCTGATGATACAACTGCTATTGTTTCAATGTTTGACCCCTCCAAACCCCACTTTGAAATTTAATCCCCAGTGTGGGAGGTTGTGCCTATTGGGAGGGGTGTTTTGGTCATGGGGGTGGATCCATCATGAATAGATTAATGCTGTCCCCAGAGGACGGGGTTAGCAAGTTCTCCCTCTATTAGTACCCTGGAGAGTTGATTCTTAAAAAGAGCTTGGAAGCTCCATCACACCCCCTTTCTCCCTCTCTTGCCATGTGATCTCTGTGGTCTCTGCACACGCAGGACCCCCTTCTCTTCTGTCAGTGTGGGAGCAGCCTGAGGCCGCAGCCAGAAATAGATGGTAGTGTCCTGCTTCTAGTACAGCGTGCAGATCAGTGAGCCAAACACATCTCTTTTCTTTAGAAGATACCCAGGCTCAAGTGTTCTTTTATAGCAACAAAAATAGGCTAAGACAGCAACATCCTGAGATCAGGAGGAACGTCTCAGAACAGCCTGGGCTGTCTTCCTGTTCTTCCTGGAGGAGAACATCATGCAGTGCTTTAGCTGAGTGTTCCCTGTGGCTCCAGGGTACAAAACCCAGGCTGGGCTGCTTTCTGGCTTCCCCCAGCTACAGTGCACATGAAGTGACTCCATGTGTCCTGAGCAGTTTTTCTGAGCCTTGAGGGACTGGCTCACCCTGAAAGGAAGGTTTCTGTTGTCACTCGCTGCTTATCTATAAGTAATGAACCTGCCTATGTAATGTATTCCCTGTGTGTTCTGTCTCCCTGGAGTGATGGTGAGTGATAGAAATTGGCACAGCCCCAGGTGCAGTATGGGAGGTGTTTAGAGTCTTCTCTGGGAAGACTGGACTGGGATTGATACACAGTGAATGTGCTTTACAGTTTCTACATCCACAACCCTCTTGACTCAAACAAATTACATTCTCCAAGAAAAGGAAAAAACAGTGACATTGAAATCAACATAAGTGAGGTTGAGCTGTCTTATATCAAACAGCCAGGAAATAATGATGAAGCTCGTGGGCAACATGCTACTTTTGTCATCTTGGGAGTCAGATATTAGGCTGCTGTTCCACCCGAGAGTCTGGGGGAAAGACCACCCCCTCCATCATCTGTTGCTTCAATACAGCCTGTCTTTCTGTGAATTACTCCAAAAGGTGACCAGGAGATAGTGCTGGCACTGGTCTCTGAGTCTACGATCTGAACTCCAAAGAATATTAGTTTTTACCTCCCCATGATCTATCTGTATCATTAATGTGATTGGAAGTAGGGGTGAGGTGGGGGATTTGGGTGAAGGGGCAAGTTTTGTGCCATGAACAGATCACGTTCTCTATTCCAGGACCTGCGCTGGTGGGTTTCACATTTTCCATATGATCTCATGCTCACAGAAAGCCAAATAAGGAAGATGTTTTCGCCTGATTTTCTTATGGATAGGATAAAGGATCAAAGAAGTCATTATAGAGAAATAGAAAAATGATGATTGGAATTGGTGTGCCTTTGTCATTCGTGTATGTTATATTATATTTATGTATTCTTTATTTTTATTTTTTGCCATGGAGTCTCACTCTGTCACCTAGGGTGCAGTGCAATGACGCGATCTTGGCTCACTGTAACCTCTCCCTCCCTGGTTGAAGCCATTCTCCTTCTTCAACTTCCCGAATAGCTGGTATTACAGGCATGCGCCACCACCCCCAGCTAGTTTTTGTATATTTAGTAGAGATGGGGTTTCACCATGTTGTCCAGGCTGATCTCGAACTCCTGATCTCACTTGATCCAGCCTCCTCAGCCTCCCAAAATGTTGGGTTACAGGTGTGAGCCACCGTTCAGAACCTTGTGTGTTATATTATAATAGGTCTCTTCCTTTGCACCACCCCTCATGTATCTCTCACTCCTCTGCCAAGTATTGATTTACATGTAGGAAAAATAAATCTCAGAAAGAAATCAATGAAGTGAAGATTAAACAATTAGGAAAAATCAAAGCAGGCAAGCCCTCCCTGCAAATTACTCTACCTCACAAACACATCTTGTGTCCATCTTTCATTCATTTAGTGTCTAAATCAGCACCACATTTCACCAGGGGGGCGGGAATTGCCTTTTCCACAGTCTCCTAGATTCCAGTTATGCACCTGGGCCTCCCTTATTTTCATGTCAGTCACTATTCATCATGTAGGGATTCCCAGTTAGCCCCGAGGTAAGTCCAATGGCTGTGAGTGTCAAACACACGCTCCTTGTTCCTCCTTAGTTTCCTGTGTACCCAGAGTGCTCTCTGTCTCTCCACAGTCGTCTTGTCATTCTCCCCATCTCATTCCCAGCATTTCAGGCAGAGCCTCTTCCTTCCACATAACATTGTTTTCACCTTTGTGCCTTCACGGCTGACAGCTGTGTGGAAAATCCTTCCGCCAATCTTCCAGGGGTTGATCTATTTTTTTCATTAAGGTCACAAGTATTATTTGATCAGTGAGAACTTCTCTGTCACCCGAAATTATACACTCAGCATTATCTATTATTTCTTTTAAAATACGGCTCGGCGCCTTGGCTCACGCCTCGAATCTCAGCACTTTGGGAGGCTGAGACGGGCGGATCCCTTAAGGTTGGGAGTTTGAGATAGCCTGGGCAACATGGTAAAACCTTGTCTGTACTAAAAAAAAAATACCAAAAAAAAATTAGCCAGGCGTGGTGGGACATGGGTGTAATCCCAGCCTCTCGGGAAGCTGAGTGTAGAGAATCGCTTTAACCTGGGAGGTGGAGGTTGCGGTGAGCCGAGATCCCGCCACTGCACTCCAGCCTGGGGCACAGAGGGAGACACCGTCTCATAAAAACAACCAATCAATCAATCATTCTCATGCACAGATGCTTCCCAATGGATCATTCATTTATTGGTCCACTGGTGCATTCATTTTCTGCCCTCCCATTTAATCCTTTGCAATATCAGTGTCCAAGAGCAGAGGCCAAATGCACCTTGTTTACCATTTGTGGAAAGGATAAGAATGCCGCCCCACCCCAAAATGTTCCTGTCCTAGTCGCCATATCTTGTGAATATGTTATTTTACATGGAAAAAAGGAATGCAGATTGCAGATGGAATTACGGTTGCTAATCAGCTAACCTTAAAAGGAGGGTATCCTAGATGATTTTAGGGAAATTATGATGGATTATCTTGGTGTTTCCAATAGAATGCCAAAGTCCTTAAAAGATGAGGAAGAAGGCAGAGCAGCATTCAGAGAAAGAGGTGTGGACAAGGAAGAAGGGTCTGAGTGATGCCGTGTGAGAGGCGTGACCAGCCTTTGTGGACTTTGAGGGAGGAAGACGGGGACCAGGAGCCAAGGAATGTGGGAGCCTCTAGGAGCTGGGAAAAGTGAGGAAGCAGATTCTTGCCTGGAACATTCAGAGGGAAGGCAGCCTTGCTGTCACCTTGATTTTAGCCCAGTGAGATGATGCATTTCATACTTCTGAGCTACAGCACCATGAGATATTTTTTTAAAATGTGGTTTCCATCCACGAAGCTTGTGGAAATTTGTTATGGCAACATAGGAAAAGGTTCCACACTGCACAGTCTGAGCATGGGGCAGTGGCTGAACGAGTAAGTGGAAGTGTCATGTGCACGGATGAACTACGTTCTCTCTTACCGCAAAGCTCTTGTTCCACTAAGTCAACCAGGGTTGGATCATGACAGACAGGAGCTCATTCCTTGGCAAGTAGAACTTCTCTACAAATACACCACCCTCAAA
Source organism: Homo sapiens (assembly GCF_000001405.40). Taxonomy (NCBI): domain Eukaryota; kingdom Metazoa; phylum Chordata; class Mammalia; order Primates; family Hominidae; genus Homo; species Homo sapiens. The sequence goes on from NT_187641.1 coordinate 99,198, forward strand.
AATGTTCCCCGTCCTTCCCCTTCTCAAGCCCCCAGGCATTTGTCCTCCCAGTTAGGAATGCAGGCAGAACAAACACAGCATTTTTCCTGAGAAGAATGTCTGATTTGCACTCATCCTTCTACCCTGAGGTCTCAGCAGCAGAAAATTAGAGATTAAGAGATTTCACTGAGCCCTGTGCTGGGCCCAGATCCCTTTCGCTGTTGGAGTGTCTGGGGTTCAGAGACAATGGAAGACAGGCCCACAATCACAGAGCTGGCAGGTGCTGAGCCAACGCTTGAATCCAAGGCTTCTACCTCCCCAGGTTTCCAAAAGCAGAGATAAGAGGGGTCCTTCACTTACCAGTTTTGAAGCTTGGTTCAGTGGGTGAAGGCCAACTACTAGAAGGGTTTCCTAGAACATGGGACAGGAGAGAGGTGTGGCAATGAGGATGCCTGTCTTCTACTCAATGGAAATCTTTGAGGTTGGTTCATGGCCAACATTCTATTATCTAATGTTGGGCCCTGGGAGTCCTGGCATCCCATTCTCCATAATCATTGTAGGTGACACCAACTATCTTGAGACTTCAAGGTATAAGGAGAAAACAGGAGCATCACACTACCTGACTTAAAAATATGTTACAGAGCTGTAGTAAGCAAAACAACATGACATTGGCATAAAGAAAAGCACATAAAACAATGGAGCAGAATGAAGAACACGGATGTAATCCACCCATTTACATCCAATGGACTTTGACAAAGGTTCGAAGAATCTACAATCTGGAAAGGACAGTCATTTCAATAAATGGTGCAGGGAAAACTGGATATCTACATGCAGAGGGATGAAACTGCACCTCTACCTCTCACCATACACAAAAATCAGATGAAAATGGATTAATGACTTAAGACCTGAATCCATTAAATGTCTAAAAGGAAACACTGGAGAAATGCTCCAGGACATTTGTCTGAGGGAAGACATTTTGTTTAAAACCTCAAAAACACAAGTAATCACAACAACAACAAAAAAATAGACCATTGGGATTATATCAAATCAAGCAGCTTCTGCACCGCAAAGGAAGCAACCAATGAAGTGAAGAAGAGACAACCCACAGAATGGGAGCAAATATTTGCAAACTATGCATCTGAGATGGGATTAATAACTAGAATATAAAAGAAGCTCAAACACCTCAATAAAACTAATAATTTAATTATAAAATTAGTAAAAGACCTGAACAGACATTTCTCAATGAACAAAACATACAAATGAACATATATACATTGCATATATGAAAAAGTGCTCAGTATCACTAATCATCAGAGAAATGCAAATGAAGTCACAATGAGCTATCATCTCACCCCATTACAATGGGTTTTATCTCAGAGACAGACAAAACAAATGTTGGCAAGGTGGTGGAGAAAGGAGAACCCTGATACACTGTTGATAGGAATGTAAATTAATACAGCCATTACAGAGGAGAAGAATATGGAAGTTCCTTAAAAACTAAAAAGAGATTAGGCACTGTGGCTCACGCTTGTAATCCCAGCACCTTGGGAGGCTGAAGTGGGCAGATCACTGGAGGTCAAGAGTTCGAGACCAGCCTGGCTAACATGGTGAAACCCCGTCTCTACTAAAAATACAAAAATCAGCCAGGCGTGGTGGCGGGCACCAGTAATCCCAACTACTCGGGAGGCTGAGGCTGGAGAATCACTTGAATCCTGGAGGTAGAGGTTGCAGTGAGCCCAGGTGGTGCCATTGCACTCCAGCTTGGGCAACAAGAGTGAAACGCTATGTCAAAAAAACAAAAAGCATAAAACAAAACCTAAAAAGAGAACATCCAGAGGATCTAGCAATTCCACTAGTGGGTGTAAATGCAAAGAAAAGGACTTCAGTGTATTGAAGTGACATCTGCACTCCCATGACTGTTCCAGCACTGTTCACAGTAGCCAAGATGTGGAGTCAACCTACCTGCCCATCAGTGGATGAATGGATAGAGAGAATGTAGTACATACACACAATGGAGACAACTCATCCATACAAAGAGAAACGTCCTGTCATTTGCAGCCACATGGATGGACTGGAGGTCATTACAAGGATTGCCATTTCTTACTCACATGCAGGATGTAAAAGGTGGACCTCATGAAGGTAGAGAGTAGAATGGTGGATACCAGAGGTTAGGAAGGAAGGGGTGGAGGGTAACAAAAGAAGAATATAAAAGTATTTATTTATTTATTTAGAGACAGAGTCTCTCTGTGTCACCAGGCTGCAGTGCAGTGGCATGATCTCAGCTCACTGCAACCTCCTCCTCCTGGGTTTAAGCCACTCTCCCGCCTCAGCCTCCCAAGTTGCTGGGATTATAGGCGCCTGGCACCATGCCTGGCTAATTTTATTTTTTTTGTCTTTTTAGTAAAGATTGGTTCCCCCATGTTGGCCGGGCTGGTCTCCAGCCCCTGATTTTAAATGATCCACCTGCCTTGGCGTCTCAAAATGCTGAGATTACAGGCGTGAGCCACCGCACACAGCATATAAAGGTATTTATGATCCCTAGATTTTACACTTAAAAATGGTAAAGTTGATAAATTATATAGGTATATTTAACCTCAATCAGCATTTTTTCAAAGGAAAAGAAAAAGTGTAGGGGTTGCTGGTGATGACATCTCTGTGTAGGTGAGAGGCCAGGGTGGGCTTCTGGGAAATGGGTAAGGTTGAGGGGCTGAGGGAACCTCTGATCTCCCCAAACTGAGCCCAGTCTCCCTCCTCTGGGTCTGTCCTGACCACTTTCTCCATCTGCCTGGGTACCCGGAGCCCTTACTGCAAGCTTCCATGCAGGCCATGCAGGAGGGTTTGGAGGTGCCCTGTCTGCCATCCTGTGCCCTGATCCCACCCTCACACCATGCTGCATCTTCTCTCCACATCTGTCCATGCTTCTCTCCATCATCAGCAGGAAGCTCCTCAGCTAAGGCTCTAGGACCATAGGACATGGGACAGACATTGGCTTTCCTCACCTGTGACAGAAACAGGCAGTGGGTCACTCGGGTCTGACCACTCGTAGGGAGATCCATGGAAAGAGCCGAAGCATCTGTAGGTCTCTCCGTGGGTGGCAGGACCCAGAGGGAAGTCGGCCTGGAATGTTCCATTGATGCTGGGCACTGCAGGGAGCCTAAGTTCATGGGCTTCCCCCTCCCTGGATAGATGGTAGATGTCAAAGGAGCTCTGGGAGCTGCAGGACAAGGTCACGTTCTCTCCTGCGCGAACCGTGGGGCCCGGCCGGGCTGTAAGCGAAGGTTTCTCATATAGACCTGGAAGGAGAAGAGGCAGTTTCCTCAGGGAGGTTCTTCCTTGTCACAGCTCCCCTCCCACCTGAGCTGAGAACTCACTGCCCTGCTCTATGGCCTAGTGCTCTCTCTCTCTCTCTCTCTCTCACCCTCCACCCCCAACTCTTCCTGTCGATCCCTCCCTATGTGGTTCCAGCCTGGTGGTGGCATCAGCAGTGCACCCTTGCTGATCTCAGGGTAGCCAACCTTCTTGTTTGGTTTTTTAACTTGTCCTTCACCTGGGTTCCTGTGTTGGTTTCCTGATGTTGCTGGAGAAAATTATCACAAACATGGCGGCAGGAGAGAACACACTGACCCCTTCCACTTCTGGAGACAGAAATCAGACCCTGTTCTTCCTGGGCTACAATCAAGGCATCTGCAGGGCTGCATTCCCTCTGGAGACTCGGGAGAATCAGTTCCATTGATTTCTCCAGCCCCTTCGTGGCTCGTGGTCTTCCTCCACCTTCAAAGCCCACAGTGGCTGGTGGAGTATCCCACGATGCTGCTCTAATCCCCATTCTCCTCTTCCTTCTCCACTCATATGGACCCTTGTGATTACACTGAGCCCAGTGGGAGGGTCCAGGCCATCTCCCCATCTCAAGGTCAACTCATCAACAACCTGAGCTCCATCTTCCCCTTCAGTCCCCTGCCCTATAACATAGTCACAGGCTCCAAGGATTACAATGTGGCCATCGATGGGGACAGTTATTCTTTCCAACACAGCACCCATTCCCCTGTATTCAATCCCCCTTTACCCCAAATATAGTTGGGGCCTGGATGATCGGACTCTGGTGGACACCCCCACCAGAAGCTCTGGGACTCAGGAGGTGGGACAAGGAGAAGCCCAGACAGGAGCCCTCTGACCTGTGACCATGATCACCAGGGGGTTGCTGGGTGCCGACCACTCAGTGGGGGAGTGCGGGTGAAAACCTCGACATCTGTAGGTCCCTGCGTGTGCTGGGGTCACAGGGCTAATGAGGAAACTGTTCCAGAATATTCTGTTGTAGAGCTCAGGGACAGGGACCCCATCTTTCTTGTACAGCGTGAAGATGTTAAACCCACGACGACAGTGACACCGAAGAGTCACGTGTCCTCCTTGAGGCACCACAGCGCTGGGCCAGGCAGAGCAGAAGGGCTTGTCCTGACCACCTTGGGGAGAAGGAGATGCCGCCTCAGAGAGGAGTATGTTGAGCTGCCCCTCCCTCCCTGTGCTCAGAAGATTCTCCCCATTTCTTCTTTCTAAGGCTCCTACCACACCTGGGTGCCTGGGGCTACAGGAAGGACCCATCCCGCATAGACGTGGCGTCTCCCTACAACAAAAGTGTCAGTTGAGAACTGAGCAGGTGCTGAGTAAGGGACTCTTACTAGATTTTAATACTGCAAGATTAGTTACACCAAACAACACAAAGTAGACATGGGGTGGAGGGTATGACCTTTGTGAATGGAATATTAGCTAATGCCTGAACCACAATAAACAACTGAGCTCCATCAGAGGATTTGGAATGGCAGGGTCGTGGCTGTGGTTCCCCCACCTCTTCTGGCAGAATGACAGCAGCCACACTGCAGCCCCTACCGTCATGGAAACGCTGGAGGGTGTGAGTTACCCTCTTGTCCTCAGAGGACCTGCTGTTCCTAACACTGCTACCCTTCCCTCCTCTGTCGGTGACACCACATCCCCCCACACACCCCAGCTTTGAGCACCTCAGTATCCCGCCTGGGCCACACAGAGCTCAACTCAGCCATGGGGAAGAAAGGCTGGGGAGGGCTAAGACAAAACAGAAGGCTGAGCATACCAGGATCTCCTCTTACTAGTTCATGAGAGACTCCCAGGATCTCCTCTTACTAGTTCATGAGAGACTCCCAGGATCTCCTCTTACTAGTTCATGAGAGACTCCCCCCAGGCCTTCCCATGGTCAGCCCATCAGCCCACCCTCTGTGCTGCCTCCCTCCCATTTCCGGAAAATTCACTTGTATTGGGGTGAAGATGGCAACCCATCATTTGGGGAAGGACTCACCCACGTGTGCCCACACACTCTGGTCCAAGAAGAACCCTGCAAAGAAAGATCATGAGGAACTATTCATCTCGGCAGCAACCTACCCTTTCCTCCTGAGCCACTGGGCGCCACGCTGGACTGAAAATTAACTCATCCTCACCACTCACTTGCTTCAGAACATGGCTCTCTGCTGGGGAGACACCCAATCTGCAGGCCCATAGTGTAACCCTGGTGCTCCTTCCCTTCCAGGACTCACCAAGACATGCCAGGATGATGACCGTGGGTGACATGGACATGGTGCAGCTTCTGCTGCCAGGACGCAGTGACTCGGCTCGACTGACCGGTGCAGAGGATGTGGTGAGGGGCCCGGATCGTGCAGTTGACACATTGACCACAACATGTGAAGGGGACATAGGTAGGCTTCTTCTACGTCATATGAGGTTCAAGTGGTGAATCAGTCAAGGGAGGAATGAGGGTTTCTGAAAACTGCAGACTAGACTTGTCACTTCACATCATGCGCAACGGCCAGGCTCAAAACACATCTCAGACTCACTTACCCCTGCACGGGACGATTGAATTCTGCACTCACATGAGGAACTTTTGATGTATTTTTTTTTGTTTCTACCTGAGATTCAAACTCTCCTTGATATGTAATATGCAAAATACCTAATAGGTTTTATTAACACTATAGAGCAATCGTATTAAATAAATCATCATAATTTTCCATGGTTGTATTTTTCCTGTTAAGCCAGAAACAGATAAAATGATTTAAATCCCAGTAGAAAAGACTATATAGTTATTTCGCATCATAGAATTCCACCTTATTAGCAAAAACACAATATGTCAATTGAAGGTCTGGTCGTGTTATCTAGAATTTGTCTTATGACACAAGAGTCCAAATTCACAGTTCCCTGTCTCCCTTTTTGTCTCTCTGTAACGTGTGCTTTTTTTCTCCCTGTGTTGTTTGTGTGTCTTTCTTTCTCTCTCTCATTTGAGGAAAAAATATCAGACTGATAACATCCTCCAACTTGATACTGGAATATTGCAATAACTGAAGGTTGAAATCTACACATTTAATGTGCTGTCATTCTTACAAATGTCTCTTATTTACACCTACCTTTCTGGAGTTTGTAAGAACTTTTTCACTATGCATTTTAAATTTGTAAAACTCATAATTTTTAAAAAGGGATGGGTCTCACTGTTTGCCCAGGGTGGCCTTTACTCATTCTATAAGGCTGGCATCACCCTGATACTAAAGACAGAAAAGAACATTAAACAAAAGAAAACTACATGCCAATATTCCTGATGAACATAGAGGCAAAAATCCACAAAAAATACTAAGAACTGAATCCCGCAGCATATCAAAAAGTGAATCCACCATGATCAAGTCAACTTTATTCTTAGGGTGCAAGGTTGGTTGAACATACACAATCAATACATGTGATTCATCACCTAAACAAAACTAAAAACAAAAACCACATGATCTTCTCAACACACATGTAGAACATACTTTTTACTAAGCATTTCTTCATGTTAAAAGCCCTCAACAAGCTAAGCATTGAAGAAACATAACTCAATATAATAAGAGCCGCCTGTGACAAACCCACAACCAACATCATACTGAATGAGTAAAAGCTGGAAGAAGTTCCCTTCATAAGTGAAACAAGACAAGAATGCCCACTCTCACCATCCTATTCAACATAGTACTTGAAGTCCTAGACAGAGCCATCAGGAAAGAGAAAGAATTATAAGGCATCCAAGTAAGAAGAGAGTAGCAGAGAGAGGTAGTCAAATTACCTCTGTTTGAAGATGAGATAATTTCTATACCTAGAAACCCCATAGTCTCTGCCCAAAGGCTCCTACATCTGAGAAACAAACTTCAGCACAGTTTAAGGGCAGAAAGTCAATGTACAGGCTGGGTGTGGTGTCTCAGCCTGAAATCTAGCACTTTGGGAGGGCGAAGCGGGTGGATCACCTGAGGTCTGGAGTTCGAGACCAGCCTGGCCAACATGGCGAAACCCTGTCTCTACTAGAAACACAAATATAGCCGGACGGGGTGGTACGCAACTGTAGTCCCAGCTGCTTGGGAGGCTGAGTCAGGAGAACCGCTTGAACCTGGGAGGCAGAGGTTGCAGTGAGCGGAGATCACGCCATTGCACCTCAGCTTGGGCAACAACAGTGAAACTGCATCTCAAAAAAAAAACCAAAACAAATTTAATTAATGAGGAAAAGGGTATTTGTGGTGTCCATCATGATGTTTTCATATAGGTACACATTGTGGAATGGATGAAACAACCTCTTTATCATATTTATTTTTTCACATACTTGTATGTTTTGTGTGTGTGGTGAGAACATGTAAAATCTAATCTCTTAGTAATGTTCAATACACCATATGTTGCTATTAACTGGAGTCACCAAGACATACAATAGATCTCTTGAACCGATTTCTTCTAACTGAAATTTTGCATCCTTTGACCAACATCTCTTCAATCTCTCTCCATCCCAGGTTCTTTCGACGACCATTTTACTGTTCCTCTAGGTTCCACTTCTTACACTCCACACATGAGATCATGTGGCATTTGTCTTTCTGTGCCTGGATTGTTTCCCTTAACATAATGTCCTCTAAGTTTTTTCACATTGTCACAAATGAGAGGACTTCCTTCTTTGTTGTAAAGGTTGTATAGTACTTCATTACGTTCCTATCGTATACCACGTTTTCTTTGTCCATGCACCCATAGATGGGCAGTAAGGGTGATTCCACATCTTGGCTGTTATGAATAATGCGGCTGTAAACATGGGAATGCAGATATCTCTTCAACATACTGATTCCACTTCCTTTGGATACATGCGCAGTAGTTGGATTGCAGACACATATGGGAATTCTATGTTTAATTTTTTCAGGAACTTCCAGACTGTTTTCCATAATGGTTGTGCTAATTTACATTCCCATCAACTGCATACAAATGTTCCCTTTTCTCCACATCCTCGTTAACCCTTGTTATTTTTTATGTTTTTGATAATGGTCTTTTTTTTTTTTTTTTTTTGAGACTCAGTCTTGCTCTGTCACCCAGGCTGGAGTGCAGTGGCACAATCTCGGTGTACTGCAACCTCTGCCTCCTGGGTTCAAGCGATTCCCCTGCCTCAGTCTCCAGAGTAGCTGGGACTACAAGTGTGCGCCACCAAACTCTGCTAATTTTTGTATTTTTAGTAGGGATGGGGTTTCACCATATTGGCCAGGCTGGTTTCGAACTGCTGACCTCAGGTAATCTCCCTGCCTCGGCCTCCCAAAGTGCCTGAATTACAGGCATGAGCCACCATGCCCAGACTGTTAATGGTCATTCTAAGAGGTGTGAGGTGATATCTCATTCTAGTTTTAATTTTTATTTAGCTGATGTTTAGTAATGCTAATCATTTTTTCATATACCTTTTGGTGATTTGTCTTATTCTTAGAAATGTTTATTCAGATACTTTGCCCATTTTTTTAAGTTGGGTTATTTGATTTCTTACCATTGAGTTGTTTGAGTTTCTTATATATTTTGGATATTAATTCCTTATTAGATGTATGGGTGCAAATATATTCTCCCATTCCATAGGTTGTCTTTCCACTTGTTGAGTTTTTTTTTTCTTTGCAGAAACTTTCAATTTGATATAATGTTATTTGTCTACTTTTGCTTTTGTTGCCTGGGCCTTTGGGTTAATATCCAAAATGGTTTTGCCCAAGCCAGTGGAGTTTTCCCTTGATTTCTTTTAGTAGTTTTTTTTTTTTTTTTAAGATGGAGTCTCACTGTGTTGCCCCGGCTGGAGTGCAGTGGTGCGATCTCGGCTCACTGCAACCTCTACCTCCTGGGTTCAAGTGATTCTCCTGTCTCAACCTCCCGAGTAGCTGAGATTACAGGCACCCACAACCACACCCAGCTGTTTTTGTATTTTTAGTAGAGGCGGGATTTCACCATGTTGGCCATGCTGGTCTTGGAATCCTGACCTTAGGTGATCTGCCCACCTTGGCCTCCCAAATTGCTGGGATTATAGTCTTTCATCTTACATTTAAGTCATTAATCTATCTTGAGTTGACTTTGTATGTTTTGTGAGGCAAATGTCCACTTCCATTCTTCTGCATGTGGACATGCAGTCTCCCAATCCCATTTATTAAAGAGACTGTTCCTTCTCCATTGTGTGTTCTTGACACATCCCAAAAATTGTTTGACCCTAAATGCATGCATTTTTTTCCTGGGCTATGAATCACTTCCATTGGTCTATGTGTCTGTTTTTATGCAAGTACTGTGTTGTTTTAATTACTGTAATTTTGTAATGTAGTTTGTGTTTAGGTAATGTGATGCTTCCAACTTTGTTCCTTTCCCTCTAGATGGCTTTGGTTATTTGAGATCTTTTGTGGTTCCACATGAATTTTAGGACTGTTTTTTCTATTTCTGTAAAAAAAATGTCATTGGATTTTTGATAATGGTTGCATTGAATCACTTTGGATAGAATGGACATTTTAACAACATTAATCCTTCTGATCCGTGAACATGGAATATCTTTCGATTTATTTGTTTATTTCTTGAGTTTTTTCATCAATGTTTTATAGCTTTTGCATACAGATCTTTCTACTCCTTGGGTGAATTTATTCCTGCATGTTTTGTTTTCTGTAGTTATTGCAAATGGGCTTATTTTCTTGTAAACTTTTTTGGATAGTTTGTTGTTAATGTATAGAAACTTTGTTGTTGTTGTTGTTGTTGTTTTGATGATACCCATCCTAAGGGGTATGAAATGGCATCTGGTGTAGTTTTAGTTAGTATTTCCCTAATGATTCGTGATGCTGAATATCTTTTCATGCGTATGTTCTTTGGAGAAATGTCTGTTTCAGTACTTTGCCCATTTTTGAATTGAGTTTATTGTGATTGAGTTTTAGGAGTTGTCTGTATATTCTGGATGTTAATCCCTTACAGGTGGTGTGGTTTGAAAACATTTTCTCCCATTCTGTGGGTTGTCTTTTTACTTTGATAATATCGTCTTAAAAGTTCTTTTTCCTTGCCATGTGAAGTAACTGATGTTGTCTTTTGAGTCACAATATTTCAAAATTTTCATAAAGTCTAACTTGTTTATTTTTTCTGTAGTAGCCTGTGCCGTTGTTGTCACATCTAAAGAATCACTGCCAAATCCGATGTTGTGAAGTTTTCCTTTGTGTTTTCTTCTAAGACTTTAATTAAATTTTATTTGTCAATATTTAGGACTGACAAAAGCTTTTTAACATTCCTGGCACCATCTCAGTTATTGATCTACTCCCAAGATGGATCATTTCAATTAAAACATGTAAAGCATGACCTCACCTGAATGTGTTTGAACTTGCTCTTCTCCCTTTCAAATCGACTCCCTCACTTACATAGTTTGTGTTCAAATGTCAACAAATAAAACATAAAAAGAAATCAATCTTTTCATAGACCCTTTATCTAAAATAGAATAGTAGGTGCCATGACATTTCATCCTTTCATCTTGAATTATTTACTTTTCTACATGAACCAATCCATTCTTCTGTGTGCATGTGTGTGTGTGTGTGTGTGTGTAGTTTATCTGTCTACATATAATGTAAACACCAAAAAATAACAGACATTTAGTAATTTTCAAATGAGACTTCAGGAATTAACAATGGCTTGCCATTTTTAGTGTGTTATTATTATTATATTTAGATGAACAGAATTGCCTCAGGAACATGGCCAGGGGCTCATAGTCCAGGAGAACTGTGGCCTGACTCAGGTACATTTTACCTGCAATAACAGCAATTGCAGGTCACTGGAGTCCATCACAATTGGCTGGAGACAAATGTAAGACAAGAATATTTGCAGTTTCCCCAGACTGACACAGTTGCAGGTTCCCCGAAGTAATGAGTCCTGAGACACCTCCAACAAGAGCTAGAAAAGGTATCACTTCAAGAGGAGTTGCAGCCTACTCATTTTAGACAAATGGAGCAAAATTACAGTATCACATCTTTTCCTTTCTCCTTCATAGAATCTGGATGAACAGAACAGAAAGAGTTAATGGAATATAAGATTCCAATTCTCTGGCATGAGAAAATAGACAAGGAAAGGAAGATTCATCTTCATCACATCTCAGACATGCTTGGACACAGGGTCCAAGCACAAAAGAGAAACACATACTTCTTCCCATCCACACTGGGATCCAGGGTCTTCTCCCTCCTGTCAGGCCAGAACTGAGTCTCCACTCCCCAATTTAGTTCCCAGAGATGAAGCCCAATTTTCCTCTGTCTCAAGCTTTGAAGGCCAGCTTTAGCGTGTTCACCATGGATGAATGAAGGTGAGGTCAGAGGTTTGGGAAATGGTCAAGAATGAGGTGAGAAGAGAGCTGTGGAGGCATGGCCCCGGGGAGCTTGGTACCCCCCCATATCCAGAGCCTGTCTGGTCCAGGAGAGTTCCCAACCCTGTGAGCACCAACTCCGGATATTCTGGGCAGTGACCCGAGGGACAGCCTCTTATGAATACAGGCTGTTTTCCTCCAGTGTCTGCTGTGAAACCAGGATGTACAACATGGCCGTGTTCAACCCAACAATGGACTTAGGATTTTGCTGTACGCCAAAACTCAGTGTCCAACTTCCACTCTGTTTAGCTGGAAAAAGAAGGGGTTTGTTCCCATACATCTCACTCCTGTGTTCCTCTTTCAGTCTCAAAGCTCAGATGAAAACAATGAGTGTCACTTATTGTCAATCCTCTTCCCTGCCTTTTCCACACTCATCAGTATTACCGTTTACATTGAGACTAAAGATGGCCAATCACCACTTTTCTTCGGAAAAATCAACCTGATGTTGTACCTACTTTTTTAGAGGTGGAATCAACCTACCCTAAGATGCCAACTACATTTTACTGAATGGACTTTTGTGGATCCCCTCGATGTATATAGTGGCACCTTGAGGTATCATCCCTGTCTTTAGCAAATGAATATTATCCCAAGGACAATATTTCATCACAATTATTCGGGATGGACGAGTGGATATTGTGGTAGCAAGAACATTACTAAAAGTCACAGCTGATACAACACACTTGAAACCCATCTGGCCAATCTCCCACAGACAGAATGTCGCGCCATTCACTCCAGCCAGCTTCAGTCATGTTTCTTCCATTTCCACCTGTGGCCCCTCATGTCTCCACCAGGTCTTAGCCAGCATTGCCAAAAGAGCCAGGAAGACCAGACCAGCCACAACAATCCTGATGGAACTCTCCACAGTATAGTTCTGGAGAACAGGGGCTGGAGGGTGGGGGTAAGATCAGAGACCTTTCCATGTGGGCCAGGCCCCTCTCTCCCCAGAAGCTCTGAAATGGAGCTATTTCCCCATCTCACCTTCATAAAATTCTTCCTGTCCAGAACCCCTCTTCTCCCTATATCATCATGAGCACCTTCAGAAGTCTTTTGCCACAAAAAGAAATTTCTTTTGAAGATATACATTTTTTTGTACATTTCAAAAATGTTCCCAAACTAATTCTCCAAAGCAATAAATGTTTGTGTGTATTGCTGGGTAGGTTATGCATACAAGGAAAGGAAGCATAGTGAGTCTGATTTGGCAGAGGAAACATATGTGGAAATTATATCATTTACTCTCTTTACAAAATTAAGTACAAAATTGAAAACACTGGTAAGAAAGAATGAGCTATAGAGAAAGAAAACATCTGAGATGCTTGTTTCCAAGATGGCTGACTAAATGCTTTTCTGGCATGTCTCATCCACTTAGAAGAACGAGCAGAATCCAGAACAAAAACCATATGATCATCTCAATAGACATAAAGAAAAGCATCTGAAAAGAAATTCAACATCCTTACCTGATGAAAACCCTCAAAAACTTAGGCATAGAAAGAACATACCTCAAAATAATAAAAGCCATAGATGACATATCTAGAGTCAACATCATACTGAACAGGAAAAGTTAAAAGCACTCCTCTGAGAACTGGCACAAGACAAGGACACGGACATCCACCACTTCCTATCAACATAGTACTGGAAGCCTTGTCAGAGCTATTGGGCAACAGGAAGAAGTAAAAATCCAAATTAGAAAAGAGGAAGTAAAATTATTTTTATTTCTGATGCTATGATCTTAAATCTAGAAAATCCTAAAGACCCTGCCAAAAATTCTTATGATTGATAAATGAACTAAGTAAAGTTTCAGAATACAAAATCAATATGTAAAAGCCGGTAGCATTTCTCTACACCTATAATGATCTAGCTGAGAACCAAATCAAGAAGGCAATGCCGTTTACAATAGATACGCAAAATTAAAACACTCAGGAATACATTTAACCAAGGTGGTGAAAGATCTGTACCAGGAAAGGTGTAAGACACCAATGAAAGCAATTATAGATAATACAAAAAAAAAAAAGAAAAAAAATCCCACGCTCATGGATCATAAGAATTAATATTGTTAAAATGACCATACTGCCTAAAGCAATCTACAGATTCAGTGCAATTCTTATATGAAAATAGTAACACCAGTTTTCACAGAATTAGAAAAAGCAATCCTAAAATTCATACAGAACCAAAAAAGATCCTAATAGAGAAAGCAATTCTAGGTGAATGTAGAAACCTGGAGGCATCACGCTATCTGACTTCAAACTATGCTCTAAGGCTATAGTAACTTAAATAGCACAGTGCTGGTATAGACACAGAAACAGAGATCAATAGACCAGAATAGAGAGCCCAGAAATACAGCCTCATATCTACAGTGAATAATCATTGACGACGTTAACAAAACATACCCTGGAGAAAGATTTCCTTTTCAATAAAAGGTGCTGGGAAAACTAAATAGCCATATGCAGAAGAATAAAACTGGACCTGTATCTGTAATCATACACATAAATTAACTTAAGGTAATTAGCAGCTTAAATGTAAATCCAGAACTATAAAATCACCGGTGGAAACCCAAAGAGAAACTCTTCTGGGCATTGGTCTGGGCAAAGAATTCATCACTAAGACCTCAAAAGCACAGGCAATAAAAATAAAACTAGACCAATGGGACTTAATAAACGAAAGAGCTTCTGCCAAGCAAAGGAAATAGTAGCAGGGTGAACAGACAACCCACAGAATGAATGGAAATGTTTGCAAACTATGCACCCAACAGGGGACTAACATCCAGAATTTCTAGGCAACTCAAACAACTAAACATAACCCCTCAAATAATAGCATTAAAAAGTGGGCAAAGGGATATACATAGACATTTTTCAAAAGAAGACATACGAATGGCCAAACAGCGTATGAACATCACTAATCATCAGAGAAATGCAAATTGAAACCACAATGAGATATCATCTTACAGTAGTCAGAATGGCTATTACTAAAAATGCTGGTGGGGAGTGGTGGCTCACGCTTGTAATCCCAGCACTTTGGGAAGCTGAGGCGGGTGGATCATGAGGTCAGGAGTTTGAGACCAGCCTGACCAACATAGTGAAACCCCATCTCTACTAAATATACAAAAGATTAGCTGGGCATGGTGGTGTGGTTCTGTAATCCCAGCTACTCAGGAGGTTGAGGCAGGAGAATCATTTGAACCTGGTTGGTGGAGGTTGCAGCGCGTGGAGATGGCGGCACTGCACTCCAGCCTGGGTGACAGTGGAAGACTCCATCTCAAAAAGAAAAAAAGAAAAAGTGAAACATATAACAGGTGTTGGCAAGGATGCAGAGAAAAGGAAACTCTTATACACTGTTGGCCGGTATGTAAATTAGTATAGCCTCTATGGAAGACAGTATGGAAATTTGGCAGAGAACCAAAAATAGAAGCACCATTCGATCTAGGGGTCCCGCTGCTGGGTATCTACTCAAAAAATATCTGCACCTGTATGTTTATTGCAGCACTGTTTGCAATAGCAAAGATATGAAATCAATCTAAGTGTCTGTGAATGAATGATTGGATTAAAAAAAGGATGCGTGTATACACAACGAAATACTATTTGGTCATAAAAATAAAACCATGTCTTTTGCAGCAACATAGATGGAGCTGGACGCCATTATTTTACATAAAACCACTCAGAAAGACAAATACCACATCTTCTCACTCTACATGGGAGGGGAGTAATGTGTACATATGGACGTAGAGTGTGGAATGACGGACAGCGGAGGCTAGAAGGCTGGAGGGTGGCGGGACGTGGGTGAGTGATGAGAATTTGCTTAATGAGTACAATGTACGGTATTTGGGTGATGGATATAGTAAAAGTCCTGACTTCACTACTCTGCAACATACTCATGTCACAAAATTACAAGTGTACCTCATAAATTTATACTAATAGAAAAGAAAGTCTGTACACAGTAATCAATTGTGATATGTAGATAAAGTCAATATTAAATTTAAACCAGAATAACTAGTTAAAATGTTGTGTACACAACAGTGAAGAGAGTATTTATCCTCTATGACAGAGGAAACCATCAATATTAATGCACAGAAAAAGCAAATAACTGAAACAAGAAAGAGCAGTTTTGTGACAGGGTAAAAATTGACAACAGTTTTAGAATGCTCCTAACTTGAGTTCCAAAAAGAAAGAACGAGAAAACAGGTCAGAAGCAATCTTTAAAGAGGCAATTGTTGATTATTTGGAGGAAGTAGACACATCCATCAATCCACAGGTTCAAGAAATCCAGTGAATGCCAGGCAGAATGAAGTAAACACACCTCACGTTCAACATTACAGAAAAGCAGCATAAAAGCACAACCAACCCTTAAAATTAGCCAGAGGAAAAGGATCAGCTGGTAAGGATTTATAGGGAGCCAAGCATTGTCTTCCCCACAGAAAAAAGGAAAACATAAGCCAGTAGAATAGCATCTTTACCCAGCTAAGATACCGTCGCCAGCCACCGACAATTCCTTACATAGTACAGTTACTGTCCAAGATCAACGCAGGAAAGAAACAGAACTGAAAGACAAAAGGGCAAAGAAAGCTTTTCTCACTGACCCTAAAGGAAATTCTGATGACCGTGCCTCAAAGATAAAGAAAGTGAAACCAGATGGGGTGTCGAAGATTCTGACAATAACTAAGAGCAGAGGAAGAACTAAAAATATGGCTATGCCAAAAATGAATATGGACCATACGATAGTGTATGAAAACATGCCCCTGTGTAATTTCTGAAAAAGATAGAATTATGTATACCACAAAACAAAACATCATATAAGTAAATACAAACATATGTACTAAATATGCTCTAAAATCCTGTTCTTACACAGGAAGAGTGGAAATATGTTTTTATATTTGCAGTTTAATCTCTGAAATGATTAATTTCAATTTTAAAAATATGTAACAACTTCAGGATGAGTACACCATATATGTATTCCTAAACGACATAGATCAAAAATAGAATGTTTGAAATAGAAAACCACAGAAGTCAGTGGGAAAAAAAGGGAATCAGGAAAACACAACGTAATAATAACAAAAATATGATTGGAAGAACTGCTCAAACATGAACAAAAGATTGTCAGAAAGTCTTACTTTCTAAGGCGAATTGTTTGAAATTTACAAAGGACACATCTCAATGTTAACAATTCATGGAGTTTGAAATTAAACAATGTAGAAATATACCAAGCAATCACTGTTAGAAATGTGGTATAACTATATTAAAATTAGACAAAATTAGTCTTTGGGAAAAATCAGCGGAAAACATTAAGCATAAAATGTAGGAAAAAAGCAGGTAAATTTATAGCATTTTAAATTTACCAGGAATATATAATCAGTTTACACTTAACCACTCCCAGTAATATTCCTGCAAATATACATGGAGGAAGAGTCGCGGAAATAAATGGACAGGTAGGCAAATCCACGGCCACAGTGGGGTGTTTAACACTCCTCTTTTCTCAGTTGTTGATAGAAGTGGTTCAGGCAATTAGAGAGGATTTAGAAAGATAATTGCTGGACCTGACCCAAGGTATAAGTCCACTCCCAACCACAGGACTCACTTTCCTTACAAGCACAAGGGCATTTAGAAATCTCTCTGGATTCTGACCAGCCCTCACCATATGGCAGGTCCATGGACTTCTTGGAACACACCAAGCTCATTCTCACATTAGGGTCATCCCCAATGTCCTAAGTCCATGAAAGTTCCTTTCAACACACTCCCCAGGGCTCACTCCCTCTTGTCTCTAAGATCGGAGTTTAAATGTGATCTCTCTGATGAGGTCTCAGTGAGACGTTCCCTCCTGTACACTCCAAATGACAACGTTCCACGTTCATTCATTTCATTCTGTGCATGGCACTTTCACCAAGTGCTAAGGATTCACTCACTAATTCATACATTCATTCATTCATTCATTCACTCATTCCATCATTCACTCATTCATTCATTCTCTCATTCATTCATTCATGTTCTGCCTCTCTCTCCCACCCCACAGCAATGTGAGCATCATGAACCCAGGAGCTTGGCCGTGCTGTCTACTCCTGGCCATGAAACAGAGAGAACTGATGGTAGGTGTGAAATAAATATTAGATGAATGAGTTAGTGAAGGGGTCATTTACTGGGTGAGCTCAGTTCTCTCTACTCTAATGCCCTCCCTCGGCTGACTTCCCTGAGTTGCCCCCTCGGCTGAGTGAAGTCCCTTCACTGGCAAATGGAACCTCAACCAGTAGCACCTAGGTGGTCTCATACTTTGTTCTTTCCCTCTCCTCTTGCTCCCTAAGGATTATCAATCTCCATGACAGGGCTGGAGAGCAGACAAGCCACACATTCTTTCTGGGGAGAGAGTAACATGGAGTACAAGGCATTCCACATTTAGGAAGAGAACTCAGTTATGGAAGGTCAGAAATGAAAAGTTCCTACAGACCAACACCCAGGTTGGTGGCCACAGCCCTAAATGCTGATGGAGAATCACTGCAAGTCTGTAGGGAAGATGTCTGGCTTGAGGCCACTGAGCGAAGTGGCAGATCCTTCTCAGCCTTCAGTGCTGAGCCTCTGTCCCCTCAGGGATCCACTGACCAATGAGAAGAGCCTCTTCTCATCTCCTGGGATGGAGCTTGGGGCCCCTGGCGAAGGAATGGGCCTGTTTCCACCTGTCATGTTGTCATCTAGCTTGGAAATCCTGCGAGTCCCAGGGAGGCCCTCCCCGAGTCCCCAGAGAAGACTCCCCCACTGAGTCTCCAAGGTGTGGAGAGAGCAAAAAACATCTAGGGTGGAAAATGCCTCCCATCAAGAGACATTGGGGCTCCCCCAACGATGGTTGCATCTGTGCCCCCCATGTGGAAATCACTCTTTGGTGAGAGGTGGGGGCTTCTGGAAATGGGCAATGGCGGGCGGCCAATGCTACCTCTAGTCTTTCCAATCTGAGCCCGGCCTTTCATGCTCCTGAGTCAGCATTGATGCTGTTTACATGTGTCCCAGGTGGGCTTCTGTACAAAGACTGGGAAGTGGTTTATGTGGCCTGTGCTCTATCTGCAAGCTTCAGGTAGGGTTGCAGTTACCACCCCAAACCCTAATGTGATCTGTCTGCCTCGCTCTGTCTGTCTGTCTATGCCTCTTTCTGTATGTTTGCTTTGTGTCTCTTCTGTCCAGCATCTCTGGCTGACACCCCCATGGCCACCCCCTCCATCTGAGGCTCCCCTGAATGTGGCCATTGTAGTCCATCTGAGTCCCACTATTTGGGGAACAGACTGGTTTCCTCACCTGTGACAGAAACAAGCAGTGGGTCACTAAGGTCTGACCACTCGTAGGGAGAGTCACGGAAAGAGCCGAAGCATCTGTAGGTCCCTCCGTGGGTGGCAGGGCCCAGAGGAAAGTTGGCCTGGAAGGTTCCATTGACCTTGGGCACTGCAGGGAACCTAAGTTCATGAGCCTCCCCCTCCCTTGATAGATGGTAGATGTCATAGGAGCTCCGGGAGCTGCAGGACAAGGTCACGCTCTCTCCTGCCTTAACCATGGGGCGCGGCTGGGCTGAGAGAGAAGGTTTCCCACATAGACCTGGAAGGAGAAGAGGCAGTTTCCTCAGGGAGGTTCTTCCTTGTCACAACTCCCCTCCCACCTGAGCTGAGAACTCACTCCCCTGCTCTATGGCCTAATGCTCTCTCTCTCTGTCTCACCCTCCACACCATCTCTCTTTATGTCTATTTCCTCTTTCCACCTTCTCTGTCTCTCTAGGTCTCTGACCTCACTTTCTCACCTCTAGATATGTTTTCCCTTTTTGGATTGTTTTATTCTCTCTGACTCTCCTTGGACTAGTTGACTTGATGTTACTTTTTTTAAATTCTGAGTTTCTCACTTTGTGTCCTGTTCATAACTTTCTGCATATTTCTATCTATTATCTATCGATATATCTATTTATCTATTTGGTGCCTATCTACAAATTCTCTACCTGTCATCTATATCTATATATAATCTATTTATCTATCAATTGTCTATCCAAAAATCATCTATTATCTATATCTATGTATCGTCTCTCTCTCTCTATGATTTCTCTTTGTCTGCCTCTCTATCTCTATGTATTATCTATCTATCTTCATCTTCATCATCTCTATGTATCATCGATTAATCAATGAATGAATCAATCATCATCTATGTATCTATAACCTATTATCTATCATCTACCTATTTATCATCTATCTATATCTATCCATCTATCATCTGTCTTGCTCTGCCTCTCGGTCTCTCTAGTTCTCTTTGGAATCTCTGCAATTCATCCCCACATCTCCATCTTTCTATGTCCTTGTGTCTCTCCCTCAGGACTCTAATTTTAGTGCTTTTCTCTGTTCCCTTCCATTGTTCTCTCCACTTCTCTGCCCTCTTTTCTCCCTCTTTATGTGTCTGTGAGTCTCTCAATCTCCTTCCTCTGGCTCATTCTCTGTGTGTTTATGTCTTTGCTTTTTGGTGTCCCTGATTTCTCTCTGTGTCTCTCAGTGATCCTCTCATATGTGGGGTTATTTGGAATGTGAGCCTCAGAATCCAGTCTGGGGACCGCAAGTTCACACAGTATACAGGGGTTGATGTTCTGGGGCCATGATATCCTGGGACGATTACTCTCCATTGCATGGAAGGCAGAGGTGTCAGAATAAACACGGCATCTGTAGGTGCCAGAAGGCCTGAGGCCACAGGGCCCAACTCAGGCCAGAAATATGGGTGTCCTTGGGTTCTTCTGGTAGAGAACACTTTGTGGAAGTAAAACAGAAATGAAACTTCTAACCTGTGCCAGGTCTCTGAGCAAAGTCAGCATGGAAGGACACCTCTCTCTGGCACATGTCTGTCTGTGTCTCCTTTAACTCTTTCTGTCTTTTCTAACTCCCTGTATGGCCCCTGTGTCTGTCCTCTGTTATGACACCTGGTCTGTACTTGTGTCTCCTGTTTCTCTGTCTCTGTTGGTACAGACCTCACCAAGTTAGTCTCTCTCCATAAGAATACCAAGCTCATCTTCCTTATAACCACCTGGGCCTCCAAGTCGTGGATCATTCACTCTGTGTCCCAGTGACAATGAGAATAATGTCCAGACACTCTCACCTGTAATCACGATGTCCAGAGGGTCACTGGGAGCTGACAACTGATAGGGGGAATGAGGAACAGAACCGTAGCATCTGTAGGTCCCTGCAAGGTCTTGCGTCATGCGACCGATGGAGAAGTTGGCCTTGGAGACCCCATCATGGAGCTCTCCAGTGAGGCGCAAAGTGTCATTAAACTTCCCCTCTCTGTGCAGAAGGAAGTGCTCAAACATGACATCTGACCAACATTGCAGGATGACTGTCTCTTCTGATTTCACCAGGGGACCTGGGTGGGCCAGGAGGGAAGGTTTTCTGTGGACTCCTAGGAAGAGAGGTTGTGACTTTAGAAGGCATCTCTCTTTATCATCCCATCCATGGCACCTAGAATGAGTGAGGCTTCCCCTCGCTGGTGTCTTATCTCTCTCCTTCCTCTCTGTGTCTTCATGTTCTTTTCTGTGCCCATAACTCCTGGTACAGGTCCTTCCATCTGTCTCCCTCCCTCTTCTCTGTCCCTCTGTCTCTAGTAGCTCCTGATTCCCTTGCCGCTGGGCTCAGCCTCATCTCTTGGGCTGTTGTATCTATTTCGAACTAATGTCTTTCCTGCTTCTATGTGGGGGTGGAAGAGGAACCAGGATAGGCTGCACGTCCAGGCTCTTAGCAGACTGGTTCAATCTCTTTTGGACGAATTGGAATCCTTGGCAGAAGGTATGAACTGATCAGTAAGGCAGGCACCAGTGTCCACACACCCTGTTCCTGGTGGGGACTGGGAGCCACTCTTGCCATGCCTGTGCCTTCTCCATGGTGCCAGCTTCCATAGGCTGGCTTCTGGTGCTGGTTTGAGGAGTATCAACCCCTCCCTATGTGGATGGAGCCTGGTGGTGGCATCATCATCCCACCCTTGCTGATCTCGGTGTAGCCAACCTTCTCTTTGTTTGGTTTCTTTAATTAATTAATTAATTTTGGAGTCAGAGTCTCACTCCTTCACCCAGGCTGGAGTGAAGTGGTGTGGTCTAGGCTCACTGCAACCTCTGTCTCCTGGGTTCAAGTGATTCTCCTGCCCTCAGCCTCCTGAGTTGCTAGGATTACATGCACCTGCCACCACGCCCGGCTATCCTTGTGTCCTTTCTTATCTTGTCCTTGACCTGGGTTCCAGTGTTGGTTTCCTGTTGGTGCTGTGGAAAATTATCAGAAGCATGGCAGCAGGAGAGAGCACACTGACCCCTTCCGTTTCTGGAGACAGAAATCGGACCCTGTTTTTTGAGGGCTAAAATCAAGGCATCTGCAGGGCTGCGTTCCCTCTGGAGACCCAGGAGAATCAGTTCCTTGACTTTTCCAGCCTCTATAGGCCACCTGCATTCATGGCTCATGGCCTTCCTCCACCTTCAAAGCTGATGGAGACTTCCATTGCACTGCTCTAATCGCCACTCCCCTCTTCCTTCTCCTCTCATGTGCACCCTTGTGATTACACTGAGCCCAGCAGGACAGTCCAGGCTGTCTCCCCATCTCAAGGTCAACTCAACAACCTGAGCTCCATCTTCCCCTTCAGTGCCTTCCCCTATAACATAAATAGTCACAGACTGCAGGGATTAGAATGCAGTCATCATTGGGGACAATTATTCTTTCCACCACAGCACCCATTTCCCTGTATTCAATCCCCTTTTACCCCAAATACAGTTAGGGTCTGGATGATGGGACGCTGGTGGACACTCCCACCAGAAGCTCTGGGACTCAGGAGGTGGGACAAGGAGAATCCCAGACAGGAGCCCTCTGACCTGTGACCATGATCACCAGGGGGTTGCTGGGTGCTGACCACCCAGTGAGGAAGTGTGGGTGTGAACCCCGACATCTGTAGGTCCCTGCATGTGCTGGGGTCACAGGGCCTATGAAAACGGTGTTTCGGAATACTCTGTTGTAGAGCTCAGGGACAGGCATCCCGTCTTCTTTGGACAGACTGAATTCGTTAAACCCAAGACGAGAGCGACACTGAAGAGCCACATGTTCTCCTTCAGACACCACAGGGCTGGGCCAGGCAGAGAGGAAGGGCTTGTCCTGACCACCTGGGGGAGAAGGAGGCGCCACCTTAGAGAGGAGGATGTGGCACTCCCTCCCTCTATTCCTTTCCAGGACTCACCAACACACGCCATGCTGACGACCATGAGCGACATGGTGCTGCCGGTGCAGACAGGCGGCCGCGCCCCAGCTCAGCTCAGCAGCGCACAGGATGTTATTTGGCGCCCTGCCCATGCAGCTTACATGTTGACTACATCATGGGAGGGTGACGTACGCAGGCTCTTTCTACCTTGCATGAGGCCCAGTGGATGCTTGCTCAAGAGCGGAACACGGCTTCCTGGAAATTGTTCTCACTAGAATTGGCACCTCACGTCCTTCACTATGACCAACTCACAACACGTCTCAGATCCAACCTCCCGAACACAAGATGCCTAAAATCTGTGCTAACGTGAAAGACTTTTCATGTATTTTTATCCGAACACGAGATGCCTAAAATCTGTGCTAACATGAAAGACTTTTCATGTATTTTTTTTGTTTTTATCTGAGATTCAAACTCTTCTTCCTGTGTAATATGCAAAGTATCTAATAGGTATTATTAATGTTTTCGGAGTCATTGTGACTAATAAACCATTAGAATTTTTCATGCTTGTATTTCTAGTATTACAGCAGAACCAGCTAAAATGATTTAAATTCCCAGGGAAGGATTATGCAATTATTTACAATCTTAGAATTGTACTTTATCAGCAAAAACCACACCTGTAAATTCTGGAGTTTTGTAGTTTAATCTAAAATTTGTCTCATGACCCAAGATTCCAGAGTCCCAACTCTGGAGTTTGCTCTCTGTCTGTCTCTCTCCCTCCCTCGTTTTAAATTTTACAGAAATATCCAGTAACATAATGCTATAGAAAATCAAGTTTTCCCCAGCACGTTGGGAAGCCGAGGTGGGCGGATCAACTGAGATAAGGAGTTTGAGAGCAGCCTGGCCAATATAGTGAAACCGTGTCTCTGTTAAAAATCCAAAAATTAGCCGTGCCTGGTGGCAGGCACCTGTAACGCCAGCTACTCAAGAGGCTGAGGCACGAGAATCGCTTGAACCTGGGAGGCGGAGGTTGCAGTGAGCTGAGATTGTGCCACTGCAGTCCAGCCTGGGCGACAGAGCAAGACTCCGCCTCAAGAAAAAAAAAGC
Source organism: Homo sapiens (assembly GCF_000001405.40). NCBI lineage: Eukaryota > Metazoa > Chordata > Mammalia > Primates > Hominidae > Homo > Homo sapiens. Next base: position 123,102 of record NT_187641.1, read on the forward strand.
AAACAGCCTATAATAACAAATTAGAGGGCTCTGGCTACTAAATTTAAAGGGTTCTATAAGGCTACATAAAGTGCAGCATCATCAAGAGTGTGGACACAGAGAGCCCCTTAGCAGAAACAGTGTCTAAAATACATCCATGTACACACAGTCCCTTTAGAGTTGACAAAGGCTGCCGTGTGGTTTAAGGTGGCATAGAATGTCTTCTCAATAAATAATATTAAACCAATTGGTTACACCTAGGAAAAAATAAATCTAACTCACACTATAAAAACACTTCTTAGTTTTTATCTAGTTGTACATTTTTTATGATTTATATTTAAATTTGAGAAATAAAAGTCATATACGGTCATCCTTCACTATTCGTGGGTGATTGGTTTTGAGATCTCCACTCAGATACCAAAATCTGTAGATGCTCAAGCCTCTTATATGAAATGGCACAGCGTTTGCAAATAACCTATGCACATCCTCCTGTATACATGAAATCATCTCTAGATTACTTATAATTCCTGATACAGCCTACACACAGCTTCATTTGTGTCCATTCAACATAGTTATGCTTTTTGAAACTCTGTGGATACTTTCTCTCAATATTTTTGATTTATACTTGGTTCAATAAACACCTGTAAACCCCGCAGATATGGAGGAGTGACCGTATATTTATATTATGAAAGATGATGTGTTGATATGTGTCCCCATGGAGATGAGACTAACAAGGCCTATGATTCTACAAATGTTTCATTGTGGAATGACTCTGCCAGCTTTCCAGGTCTGCAGAGAGTAAGAGTATCACTTGTTCATATGATTCGTGATCCTTGGAACCTCCTATGTGCTACATCTTTGGATGGAAATTGGAGTCCCAGAGACAAATGAGGCTCCACCCTGCTTCCAGAAACTCAGAGTCCGGGGATGAGAACTCAGTGGGGAACAGATGGGATTATATGGACATGGTACTGATAACACCGGAAGCCTTAGGCAAGAAAAGAGTCCCATTACCGAAACCATGGGGGCAGACATGTTTATTTGAAGGATGGAAAACTACATTGAAGTTATTTTAAAAAATATATAAGTTTTACTGCTGACAGAAGACTGAAAGCTAGTCTGAGGGGAGGTGGAACAGCATGAGGGAAGGTGGAACAACACGTGTCTAAGTGCTGCGTTAAGAGGGAGCCTCTTGTATGTTTGGAATTGTGAGTTCCTCAGTGTGATTGCAGCCTCAAGTAGACTAGGAAGTAAGCCAGTTAGGTTGGAGAGGTGGGCAGGGGTCAAGTGAAATGGAGAACTGTGGGTTAAGCAAAGGAGTGTGTTTTTTCTCCAGCAGGCAGTGGGGACCTTAGACATTTGTAAGCAAGAGAGAGGCACATTCAGATTTGTGGTGTGAGGAAGATCGATGCCCTAAGATGCAGACTCACGCCTTCAGATTCCAGCTGCTGGTACATGGGAGCTGGCAACCCGGTTTTGAGACAGGGCTGTTGTCTCCCTAGAAGACGCCCTCAAGGCCTGACTGTGGTGCTCATGGGCAGGAGACAACTTTGGATCTGGACTCAGCATTTGGAAGTTCCGTGTACACGATGATATCTGTTGGGGGTGTCTTGGGCCTCTGAGAAGGGCGAGTGATTTTTCTCTGTGTGAAAACGCAGTGATTCAACTGTGTGTATGTCACCTCCTGAGGGTCTTGTTCATCAGAGTCCTGGAGAGAGGGAAATGCTGAGTGAGGGAGGGTGCTCACATTTTCCAGGACTCTTTGGGAATAACAGTAGCCACGAGCCCGGGCCGAGGAGTACCTACCTCGCTATTCGCTGTTCTGTTTCCTGCAGACTCTTGGTCCATTACCGCAGCATCTGTAGAAGATGGAAGTCAACAAAACAGCTCGGAGGGCACTTCTGGGTCCTCATTTCATAAGCAGATACCAACATACAGGGGGAGACCATAGGTGGCTGAGGTCCCTCAGTTGCCAACAGCAGACTCAGACATTCTATCTCTCTGAGCTCAAGGACCCATCCCATGAATAGCTCTGAGTTCCCATCCCATTGATTCTGTCTCCCACTTTCTGCCTGTCATGGAACCTTCTCCTGGATGTGAGTGGCTGCAGGGGACATGGGGATACAGTTCAGAATCAGGCAACGGTCTGTGAGTTGAAGGCAGGGACAGGGAGTCTGGTGCCCTCTCTAGAAAGTCCTGCCTCTGTGGCTGCTGCCTTGGGCCAGGGACCATCCTGTTTGTGAGGAACACACACCTGAGTGCTCCCATCCTGCTTCCCCACATGGCCCTGAGCTCTCTGGCCTCTGCTTCGTGAGACTTACTTTTTTTGTTGGAGCACCAGCGATGAAGGAGAAAGAAGAGGAGGATGAAGAGGATGATGACCACTGAGGTCCCAATCAGAATGTGCAGGTGTCGGGGGTTACCTGGAAGAAGATGAGACACCAATAAGAAGCTAATCTTAGCAGTTCCTCTTTATGAATTGTCTCGCATTTCTTGATTGACAGGTAACCACATAAAACACCTCTTTAGGACAAGCACCCAGATGGCAGGAGACCCAGCTTTCTCCTGCTTTTTCAGTTATAGCTCTCATAGTAACCATAGAACGTGCTGAGGATACGACTACTTTAGTTGAGATGTTTGACCCCTTCAAACCTCACATTGAAATTTCACCCCCACTGTGGGAGGTTGGGCCTCTTGAGAGGTGTTTGGGTCATGGAGGTGGATCCATCATGAACACATCAATGCTGTCCCAAGGAGACGGGGTTAGCAAGTTCCCCCTCTATTAGTTCCCGGAGAGCTGGTTGTTAAAAAGAGCTTGGAAGCTCCATCACTCCCCCTCCCCCTTGCTCCCTCTCTTGCCGTGTGATCTCTGTGGTCTCTGCACAGACAGACCCTCCTTCCCTTCTGCCAGAGTGGGAGCAGCCTGAGGCCGTCACGAGAAATAGATGCTGGTGCCATGCTTCCAGTACAGCCTGCAGAACGGTGAGGCAAACCAATCTCTTTTCTTTAGAAGTTACCGAGGCTCAAGTGTTCCTTTAGAGCAACAAAAATGGCCTAAGACAGCAACTTCCTGAGATCAGGAGGAACGTCTCAGAACACCCTGGGCTGTCTTCCTGTTCTTCCTGGAGGACGTCATGCAGTGCTTTAGCTGAGTGCTTCCTGTGGCTCCAGGGTACAAAACCCAGGCTGGGCTGCTTTCTGGCTTCCCGCAGCTACACTGCAAATGGGGTGACTCCATATGTCCCGAGGAGCTTTTCTGAGCCTTGAGGGACTGGGTCACATTGAAATATAGGTTTCTGTTGTCACTCGCTGCTTATCTGTTAGTAATGAACCTGCCTATGTAACGTATTCTCTGTGTGTTCTGTCTCCCTGGAGTGACGGTGAGTGATAGGAATTGGCATAGGCCCAGGTGCAGTCCAGGAGGTGTTTAGAGTCTTCTCTGGGAAGACTGGACTGGGATTGATTCACAGCGAATGTGCTTTAGGGTTTCTACATCCACAGCATTCTTGAATCAAACAACTTGCATTCTCCAAGGAAAGAAAACAAAAGTGAAATCAAGATAAAAAAAGCGAAATAGAATTCTCTTATGTCAAACGGCCAGGAAATAGTGTTGAAGCCCGTGTGAAACCTGCTGCTCTTTGTGATCTCGGGAGACACATATTAGGCTGCTGTTCTACCCGAGAGGCTGGGGGAAGGACCACCCCCTCGGCCATCTATTGCTTCAAAACCACCTGTCCTCCTGTGAATTAGTAGGAAAGGGGAGCAGGAGCTAGTGCTGTCGCTGATCTCTGATTCCAAGATCTGGACTCACTCCAAGGAGTGTTAATGTTTACCTCCCCATGGTCTATCTGAATCTCCACAGGTGATTGGAAGTAGGGGTGAGGTGGGGGATTTGGGTGAGTGGGCAAGTTTTTTTTGTGATGACCAGAGCACTTTCTCTATTCCAGGATCTGTGCTGGAGGATTCAGCGGGCTTTCACATTTTCTATATGATCTCATGCTCACAGAAAGCCAAATAGGGAAGAGGTTTTAGGCTCATTGCCTAATGGATAAGATAAAGGATCAAAGAAGTAATTATAGAGAAATAGAAAAACGATGATTGGAATTCAGGTGCCTTTGTCATTCGTGTGTGTTTTATTATATTTATGTATTTCTTATTTTTATTTTTTGAGATAGAGTCTCCTTGTGTCCCCCAGGCTGGAGTGCAGTGATGCAATCTCCACTCACTGCAACCTCCACCTACTGGGTTGAAGTCATTCTCCTGCTTCATCCTCCAGAATAGGAGCTGGGATTACAGGGATGCACCATCGTGCTCGGCTAATTTTTGTATTTTTAGTAGAGATAGGGTTTCACCACGTTGGCCAGGCTGGTCTGGAACTCCTGACTTCATGGAATCCACCCACCTTGGCCTCCTGCAGTGCTAGGTTACAGGCGTGAGCCACTGTTCACAGACTTGTATATTATGCTATAATAAGTCTCTTCATTTCCACCACCACTCATATATCTGTCACTCCTTTGCCAGGTATTGATTTATGTGTAGGATGAATAAATCTCAGAAAGAAATTAATTAAGCGAGGATTAAACAAGTAGGAAAATCAAACCCAGTAAGCCTTTCCAGTCAATGATTCTACCTCACAAACATATCTTATATCCATCTACTTCATTCATTTAGTGTCTAAATCAGCACCACATTTCACCAGTGGGGCGGCAATTGCCTTTTCCACGGTCTCCTAGATTCCAGTTATGCACCTGGGCCTCCCTTATTTTCATGTCAGTCATATTAATCATGTAGGGATTCCTGGTTACCCCGAGGTGAATCCAATGGCTGTGAGTGTCAAACACACACTCCTTGTTGCTCCTTAGTTTCCTGTGTACCCAGTGTGCTCTCCGTCTCTCTACAGTCGTCTTGTCATTCTCCCCACCTCATTCCCAGCATTTGAGTCAGAGCCTCTTCCTTCCACATCAGATTGTTTTCACCTTTGTGCCTTCATGGCTGACAGCTGTGTGTGCAAAATCCTTCCGCCAATCTTTCAGGGGTTCATTCCGTGTTTTTCATTAATGTCACAAATATCTGAATAGTGAGACCTTCTTTGTCACCTGAAATCATACACTCAGCATTATCTATTATTGATTTTGAATTCTGGCTGGGCACAGTGGCTCACGCCTGTAGTCCCATTACTTTGGCATGCTGAGACGGTCGGATCACTTGAGGTTGGGAGTTTCAGACAAGCTTGGCCAACGTGGTGAAACATCCTCTCTACAAAAAATATACAAAAAGAATTAGCCGGGCACGGTGGCAGTTGCCTGTAATCCCAGCTACTCGAGAGGCGGAGGCAGGAGAATCACTTGAATCCAGGAGACGCAGGTTGCAGTGAGCCAAGATCGTGACACTGCACTGTAGCCTGGAAGACAGAGGGCGACTCTGTCTCAATAAACAAAAGAACAAACAAAAAATAGATTTCATGCACAGATGCTTCCCAATGGACCATTCATTTATAGATCCACTTGTGCGTTCATTTTCTGCCCTCCCATTTAACCATCTGCAATATCAGTGTCCCAAGGGCAGAGGCCAAATGCATCTTGTTCACTGTTTGTGGAAGGCAGGAGAATGCTGTCCCACCCCAAAATGTCCCTGTCCTAGCCTCCATAGCTTGTGAATATGTTATTTTACATGGAAAGGAGGAATGAAGATTGCAGATGGAATTATGGTTGCTAATCAGCTGAACTTAAAACAAGGGTATCCTGGATGATTTCCAGGAGATTATGAGGGATTTTCATCTTGGTGAACCCAATAGAATCCCCAAGTTTTCAAAAGATGAGGAAGAAGGGAGAGCAGCACTCAGAGAAAGAGGTGTGGTAAGGAAGAAGGCACTGAGTGATGCCATGTGAGATGTGACCAGTCTTTGTGGGCTTTGAGGAAGGAGGAAGGGGACCAGGAGCCAAGGAACTGGGAGCCTTTAGAAGCTGGGACAAGTGAGAAGCAGATTCGTGCCTGGAATCCTCAGAGGGAAGGCAGCCTTGCTGTCACCTTGATTTTAGCCCAGTAAGATGCACTTCCTACTTTGAGCTACAGCACTGTAAGATAATTAAAAAACCGTTTTGTTTTCACCCACGAATCTTGTGGAAATTTGTTATGGCAACAATAGGAAAAGGTTCCACACTGCACAGCCTGAGCATGGGGCCGTGGCTGAATGAGTCAGTCAGTCGAAGTGTGCGTGCATGAGCTCTGTTCTCTGTTACGGCAAGGCTCTTTCTCTGCGGAGTCAGCCAGGGTTGCTTCATGACCTACAGGAGCTCATTCCTTGGCAAGTGGAACTTCTCTAAAACACCTTGCCCTCATCAGATGTTCCCTTCCCTTCCCTCTCTCAAGTCTCCAGGAATTTATCCTCCAGTTAGGAATGCAGGTAGAACAAACATTGCATTTTTCCTGAGAAGGATGTCAGATTGGCAATCATTCTTCTAGCTTGTAGGAGGTCTCAGCTCCATAAAATGAGAGATGAAGAGATTTCACTGAGCCCTGTGTTGGGCCCAGATCCCTTTCGCTGTAGGAGTATCTGGAGTTCGGAGATGGTGGAAGACAAGTGTACAATGTCAGAGCTGTGAGATGCTGAGTCAACGCCTGAATCCAAGGTTCCCACCTCCCCAGGGTTCCAAAAGCGGATATAAGAGGGTTCTGTACTCACCGGTTTTGGAGCTTGGTTCAGTGGGTGAAGGCCAACTATTTGAAGGGTTTCCTAGAACATGAGACAGGAGAGAGGTGAGGAAATGAGGGTGTCTGTCCTCCACTCAGTGGAAATCTTTGAGGATGGTTCATGGCCAACACTCTCTTATCTAATATTGAGCCCTGGGAGTCCTGGGATCCTTTTTTCCATAATTTTTTTATATGACACCCACTGTCTTGAGACTTCAAGATATAAAGAGAAAACAGGAGCATCACACTACCTGATCTCAAAATATGTTACAGAGCTGTAGTAAGCAAAATAGCATGACATTGGCATAAAGAAAGGCACATAGAACAACGGAGCAGAATGAATAACACAGATATATTCCATGCATTTACATCCAATGGTTTTTTATTTTTTCTTTTGAGATGGAGTCTTGCTCTGTCACTCAGGCTGGAGTGCAGAGGTGCAATCTCGGTTCACTGCAACCTCAGCCTCCTGGGTTCAATCATTCTCTTGCCTCAAATTCCTGAGTAGTGGTATTACAGGTGCTGACCACCATGCTCAGCTAATTTTTATATTTTTAGTGGAGACGATGTTTCATCACGTTGGCCAGACTAATCTTGAACTCCTGGCCTCAGGTGATCCACCCACCTCGGGCTCCCAAAGTGCTGAAATTGCAGGTGTTAGCCACCAAGCCCAGCCCATCCAATGGACTTTGACAAAGATGCCAAGAACTCACAATCAGGAAAGGACAGTCTTTTCAATAAACAGTGCAGGGAAACCTGGACATCTACATGCAGAGGAATGAAACTGCAACTCTACCTGTCACCATACACAAAAATCAAATGAAAATGGATTAAAGATGTGAGTCTAAGGCCTGAACCTATGAAACACGTAGAACAAAATATTGGGGAAATGCTCCAGGACGTTTGTCTGAAGGAAGACATTTTGTTTTAAACCTTCAAAACACAAGTAATCGAAGCAAAAATAGACCATTGGGATTACCTCAAACTAAGCAACTTCAGCACTGCTAAAAATAAACCAACAAAGTGAAGAGACAACCCACAGATTGGGAGCAAATATGTGCAAACTATGCATCTGAGATGGGATTAATAACTAGAAATATAAGAAGCTCAAACAACTCAATAAAACAAATGATTTAATTGAAAAAGGAGCAAAAGACATGAAATTTCCCCACATACGAAAAAGTGCTCAGTATCACTCATCATCAGAGAAACGCAAATTAAAATCAAAGTGAGTTTTCATCTCACCCCATTAAAATGGCTTTTAGGCCGGGTGAGGTGGCTCACTTGTGTCATCCTAGAACTTTGAGAACCTGAGGTGGGTGAATCTCATAAGGTTGGGAGTTTGAGACCAGTCTGACCCACATAGAGAAACGCTGTCTCTACTAAAAATACAAAAATTAGTAGGGCGTGGTGGCGTGTGCCTGTAATTCCAGCTACTCGGGAGGCTGAGGCAGGAGAATCGCTTGAACCTGGGAGGTGGAGGTTGTGGTGAGCCGAGATAGCGCCACTGCACTCCAGCCTGGGTGAGAAGAGCAAAACTCCATCTCAAAATAAAATGAAATAAAATAAAATGGCTTTTAGCTGCAAGACAGGCAAAAGAAATGCTGGCAAGGTGGTAGAGAAAGGAGAACCCTGGTACCCTGTTGGGAGGAGTGTAAATTAGTACAGCCATTACGGAGAAAAGTATGGAAGTCCTTTAAAGAACTAAAAAGAGGTTGGGTGAGGTGGATCATGCCTGTAATCCCGGCACTTTGGGAGACTGAGGCGGGCACCTCAGTTGAGGTCATGAGTTTGAGAGCAGCCCAGCCAACATGGGGAAACCGCATCTATACTAAAAAAACCAAAAAGTAGCCAGGCATGGTGGTGTGCACCTGTAATCCCAGCTACTAGGTTGGCTGAGGCAGGAAAATCATTTGAACCCAGGAGGCGGAGGTTGCAATGAGCCAAGGTTGCACCACTTTGACTCCAGCTTGGGCTAAGGAGGGAAACTCTTTCTCAAAAAAGAAAAAAAAAAAAAAAAGAGAACTTTCATAGTATCCAGCAATTTCACTACTGGGTTTATATCCAAAGGAAAGTAAATCAACATATCGAAGTGATATCTGCACTCGTATGATTGGTGCAGCACTGTTCACAGTAGCCAAGATGAGGAGTCAACCTACCTGCCCATCAGTGGGTGAATGGATAGAGAGAATGTAGTACATACGCACAGTGGAGACTACTCATCCATAGAAAGAATAACATCCTGTCATTTGCAGCCACATGGATGGAACTGGAGGTCATTAAAAAGATTCCCATTTCTCACCCATATACAGGAGCTAAAAGGTGGATCTCATGAAGGTAGAGAGTAGAATGGTGGCTACTGGAGGACAGGAAGAAAAGGGTGGAGGGTAAAAAAAATGTATATATATATATATATAAAAATGTATTTATGACCACTAGACTTTACACTTAAAAATGGTAAATGTGGCTGGGCCTGGTGGCCCATGCCTGTAATCCCAGCACTTTGGGAGGCTGATGCGGGTGGATCACGTGGTCAGGAGTTCGAGACCAGCTCGACCAACATGGTGAAACCACCTCTCTACTAAAAATACAAAAAGTAGCCTGGCGTGGTGGTGCGTGCCTGTAGCACTAGCTACTCAGGTGGCTGAGGCAGGAGAATCGCTTGAACCCAGGAGGCGGAGGTTGCAGTGAGCTGAGATTGTGCCACTGCACTCCATCATAGGGGACAGAGCTAGACTCCACCTCAAAAAAAAATGTTAAAAGTGGTAAGCTATATAGGTATATTTATCCTCAATAAATATTTCTTCAAAGAAAAGTAAAGGGTGTAGGGGTTGCTGGTGATGACATCTCTGTGTGGGTGAGAGGCCAGGATGGGCTTCTGGGAAATGGGTAAGGTTGAGGGGCTGAGGGAACCTCTGATCTCCCCAAACTGAGCCCAGTCTCCCTCCTCTGGGTCTCTCCTGACCGCTTTCTCCATCTGCCTGGGTGCCTGGAGCCCTGGCCGTGGGCCTCCATGCAGGCCATGTAGGAGGGTTTGGAGGTGCCCTGTCGGCCATCCTGTGCCCTGATCCCTCCCTCACACCGAGGCTGCGTCTTCTCTCTGCATCTGTCCATGCTTCTCTCCATCCTCAGCAGGAAGCTCCTCAGCTAAGGCTCTAGGATCATAGGACATGGGACAGCCATGGGCTTTCCTCACCTGTGACAGAAACAAGCAGTGGGTCACTTGACTTTGACCACTCGTATGGAGAGTCATGGAAAGAGCCGAAGCATCTGTAGGTCCCTCCGTGGGTGGCAGGGCCCAGAGGAAAGTCAGCCTGGAATGTTCCGTTGACCTTGGGCCCTGCAGGGAGCCTACGTTCATGGGCCTCCCCTTCCCTGGATAGATGGTACATGTCATAGGAGCTCCGGGAGCTGCAGGACAAGGTCACATTCTCTCCTGCCAGAACCGTGGGGCCCAGCTGGGCTGAGAGAGAAGGTTTCTCATATAGACCTGGAAGGAGAAGAGGCAGTTTCCTCAGGGAGGATCTTCTTTGTCACAGCTCCCTTCACCTGAGCTGAGAACTCACTCCCCTGTTCTATGACCTAATGCTCTCTCTCTCTCTCTCTCACCCTCTACCCCATCGCTCTTCATGTCTATTTCCTCCTTCCACCTTCTCTGTCTCTCTAGGTCTCTGACCTCACTTCCCCACCTCTAGATATGTTTTCTCTTTTTGGATTGTTTTATTCTCTCTGACTCTCCTTGGATTGGTTGACTTGATGTTACTTTTTTTAATTCTGAGTTTCTCACTTTGTGTCCTGTTCATAACTTTCTGCATATTTCTATCTATTATCTATCGATCTATCTATTTATCTATTCGGTGCCTATCTACAAATTCTCTACCTGTCATCTATATCTATATATCATCTATTTATCCATCAATTGTCTATCTATCCATCAATCATCTATTATCTATATCTATGTATCATCTCTCTCTCTCTATGATTTCTCTATGTCTGCCTCTGTATCTCTATGTATTATCTATCTATCTGTCTTCATCATCATCATCTCTATGTCTCATCTATTAATGAATCAATCAATCATCATCTATGTATCTATAACCTATTATCTATCATCTACCTATTTATCATCTATCTATATCTATCCATCTATCATCTGTCTTGCTCTGCCTCTCGGTCTCTCTAGTTCTCTTTGGAATCTCTGCAATTCATCCCCACATCTCCATCTTTCAATGTCCTTGTGCCTCTCCCTCAGGAGTCTAATTTTAGTGCTTTTCTCTGCTCCCTTCCATCATTCTCACCACTCCTCTGCCCTCTTTTCTCTCTCTTTATGTGTCTGTGAGTCTCTCAATCTCCTTCCTCTGGCTCATTCTCTGTGTGTTTATGTCTTTGCTTTTTGGTGTCCCTGATTTCTCTCTGTGCCTCTCACTGATCCTCTCATAAGTGGGCTTATTTGGAATATGAGCCTCAGAATCCAGTCTGGAGACTACAAGTTCACACAGCATACAGGGGTTGGTGTTGTGGGGCCATGATATCCTGGGACGATTACTCTCCATTACATGGAAGGCAGAGGTGTCAGAATAAACATGGCATCTGTAGGTGCCACAAGGCCTGAGGCCACAGGGCCCAACTCAGGTCAGAAATATGGGTGTCCTTGGGTTCTCCTGGTAGAGAACACTTTGTGGAGGTAAAACAGAAATGAAACTTCTAACCTGTGCCAGGTCTCTGAGCAAAGTCAGCATGGAGGGACACCTCTCTCTGGGACATGTCTGTCTGTGTGTCTCCTTTAACTCTTTCTGTCTTTTCTAACTCCCGGTATGGCCCCTGTGTCTGTTCTCTGTTATGACACCTGGTCTCTACTTGTGTCTCCTGTTTCTCTGTCTCTGTTGGCACAGACCTCACCAAGTCAGTCTCTCTCCATAAGAATACCAAGCTCATCTTCCTTACAGCCACCTGGGTCTCCAATTCCTGGATCATTCACTCTGCATCCCAATGACAATGAGAAGAAAGTCTGGACACTCTCACCTATGATCACGATGTCCAGAGGGTCACTGGGAGCTGACACCTGATAGGGGGAGTGAGTAACAGAACCGTAGCATCTGTAGGTCCCTGCCAGGTCTTGCGTCATGCGACTGATGGAGAAGTTGGCCTTGGAGACCCCATCATGGTGTTCTCCAATGAGGCGCAAAGTGTCGTTAAACATCCCCTCTCTGTGCAGAAGGAAGTGTTCAAACATGACATCTGACCAACACTGCAGGATGACTGTCTCTTCTGATTTCACCAGGCGACCTGGGTGGGCCAGGAGGGAAGGTTTTCTGTGGACTCCTAGGAAGAGAGGTTGTGAGTTTAGAAGGTGTCTCTCTTTATCATCCCATCCATGGCACCTGGATTGAGTCAGGCTTCCCCTTCCTGGTGTCTTATCTCTCTCCTTCCTCTCTGTGTCTTCATGTTCTTTTCTGTGCCCATAACTCCTGGTGCAGGTCCTTCCATCTGTCTCCCTCACTCTTCTCTGTCCCTCTGTCTCTAGTAGCCTCTGATTCCCTTGCCGCTGGGCTCAGCCTCATCTCTTGGGCTGTTGTATCTATTTCGAACTAATGTCTTTCCTGCTGTCTATGTGGGGGTGGAAGAGGAACCAGGATAGGCTGCACATCCAGGCTCTTAGCAGCCTGGTTCAATCTCTTTTGGACGAATTGGAATCCTTGGCAGGAGGTATGAACTGATCAGTAAGGCAGGCACCAGTGGCCACACACCCTGTTCCTGGTAGGGACTGGGAGCCACTCTTGCCATGCCAGTGCCAGCTTCCATAGGCTGGCTCCTGGTGCTGGTTGGAGGAGTATCAACCCCTCCCTATGTGGATGGAGCCTGGTGGTGGCATCATCATCTGAGCCTTGCTGATCTCAGTGTAGCCAACCTTCTCCTTGTTTGGTTTCTTTAATTAATTAATTAATTTTGGCGACAGAGTCTCACTCCTTTGCCCAGGCTGGAGTGAAGTGGTGTGGTCTAGGCTCACTGCAACCTCTGTCTCCTGGGTTCAAGTGATTCTCCTGCCCTCAGCCTCCCAAGTCGCTAGGATTACATGCACCTGCCACCATGCCTGGCTATCCTTGTGTTGTTTCTTAACTTGTCCTTGACCTGGGTTCCAGTGTTGGTTTCCTGTTGCTGCTGTAGAAAATTATCAGAAGCATGGCACCAGGAGAGAGCACACTAACCCCTTCCAATTCTGGAGACAGAAATCGGACCCTGTTTGTCGTGGGTAAAATCAAGGCACCTGCAGGGCTTCGTTCCCTCTGGAGACTCAGGAGAATCAGTTCCTTGACTTTTCCAGCCTCTATAGGCCACCTGCATTCATGGCTCCTGGACTTCCTCCACCTTCAAAGCTGATGGAGACTCCCATTATGCTGCTGTAATCCCCACTCCCCTCTTCCTCCTCCTTTCATGTGGACCCCTGTGACTACACTGAGCCCATCAGGACAGTCCAGGCTGTCTCCCCATCTCAAGGTCAACTCATCAACAACCTGAGCTCCATCTTCTCCTTCAGTCCCTTCCCCTATATCATAAATAGTCACAGACTCCAGGGATTAGAATGTAGTCATCACTGGGGACAATTATTCTTCCCACCACAGCACCCATTTCCCTGTATTCAATCCCCCTTTACCCCAAATACAGTCAGGACTTGCATGATGGGACCCGCAAGGACACGCCCACCAGGAGCTCTGGGATTCAGGAGGTGGGACAAGGAGAATCCCAGACAGGAGCCCTCTGACCTGTGACCGTGATCTCCAGGGGGTTGCTGGGTGCCGACCACCCACTGGGGTAGTGTGGTTGTGAACCCCGACATGTATAGGTCCCTGCGTGTGCTGGGGTCACAGGGCCCATGAAAAGGCTGTTCCAGAATATTATGTTGTAGAGCTCAGGGACAGGCACCCCATCTTCCTTTTACAGACTGAAGTTGTTAAACCCAAGATAAGAATGACACTGAAGAATCACATGTCCTGGAGGCACCACAGGGCTTGGCCAGGCAGACAGCAAGGGCTTGTCCTGACCACCGTGGGGAGAAGGAGGCACCGCCTTAGAGAGGAGGATGTGGAGCCGCCCCTCCCTCCCTGTGCTCTGAAGATTCTCCTCGCTTTCCAAGTTTCTATGGCTGCTATCACACCTTGGTGCCCAGGGCTAAAGGAAGGACCCATCCCGCAAACACAAGGTGTCTCCCTACAACAAAAGTGTCAGCTGAGAACTTTGAGCAAGTGCTGAGTAAGAGACTCCTACTAGATTTTAATACTGTAAGATTACTCACATAAAACAACACAGGGTAGACATGGGGTGGAGGGCATGTCCTTTGAGAATGGAATATCAGCCGATGCCTGAACGAAAATAAACAACTGAGTCCCCATCAGAGGATTGGAATGTCAGGGCCATGGCTGTGGTTTTCCCACCTCTTCTGGTAGAATGACAGCAGCCACACTGCAGCCCCTACCGTCATGGAAACGCTGAAGTGTGTGAGTAACACCTTTGTCCTCAGAGGATCTGCTGTTCCTACCACTTCCCCACCACACACCCCAGCTTTGAGCACCGTAGTCTAACCCTGGTCCCCACAGAACTTGACTCTGCCAAGGGAATGAAAGGCCAGGGAGGCAAGGTCAGAAATGTGGGCCCAGCACCCCAGGGTCCCTTCTTCCTAGTTTATGAGAGACTCCCTGACAGGACTTCCCTCCCATTTCAGGAAAATCCTCTTATGTGGGGAGATGACACCCGAAGGTTGGGAGAAGGACTCACCCTCATGTGGCCAGGCCCCCTGCAGCAAGAAGAACCCTGGAAAGAAAGATCATGATGGATGACCCATCTGCAGGCAAACCAGGGCACCCTTGCTGCCCCCACTGGGCTGTGAGTCTTGGTAGCCAGGCCCTTCCTGGGCTGAAGGTAAACTCACCCTCAGTGCCTACCTGCACCCAAGAACAGGGCTGTCGGCTGTGCAGAGACCCAGCCTCCAGGTCCATATCCCCACCTCAAGCCCATATCTCCACTCCAGGCCCATATCTCCACTCCAGGCCGATATTTCCACCCTAAGCCCATATCGCCAATCCAGGCCCATATCTCCAATCCAGGCTCAGATCTCCACCCTGGGCCCATATCTCCAATCCAGGCCCTTATCTCCACTCCAGGTCCATATCTCCTCTCCAGTCCCATATCTCCACTCCAGGCCCATATATCCTCTCCAGTCCCATATCTCCACACCCAGGCCCGTATCTCCATCCTAGGCACATATCTCCTCTCCAGGCCCAGATATCGACCTCTAGGCCCATATCTCCACTCCTGGCCCATATCTCCACTCCAGGCCCAGATATCGACCTCTAGGCCCATATCTCCACTCCTGGCCCATATCTCCACTCCAGGCCCATGTCTCCACTTCAGGCCCATATCTCTACTGCAGGCCCATAACTCCACCTCCAGGCCCATGACTCCACTCCAGGCCCATATCTCCACCTCCAGGCCCATATCTCCCCTCCAGGTTCCTATCTCCCCTCCAGGTTCCTATCTCCACTCCAGGCCCAGATCTCCACTACAGTCCCATCACTCCACCTCCAGGCCTATATCTCGACCTCTGGGCCCAGATCTCCACTTCTAGGCCCATCACTCCATCTCTAGGCCCATATATCCACTCCAGGCCCAGATCTCCACTCCAGGCCCATAACTCCACCTCCAGGCCTATATCTCCACCTCTGGGCCCAGATCTCCATCCCCTCACTCCCTCCCTCTATTGCTTTCCAGGACTCACCAACACACGCCATGCTGACGACCAAGAGCGACATGGTGCTGCCGGAGCAGACAGGCAGCCGCGACCGAGCTCAGCTCAGCAGCGCACAGGATGTTATTTGGCGCCCTGCCCATGCAGTTTACATGTTGACCACATCATGGGAGGGTGACGTACGCAGGCTCTTTCTACCTTGCATGAGGCCCAGTGGGTGCTCGCTCAAGAGCGGAACACGGCTTCCTGGAAATTGTTCTCGCTAGAATTTGACACCTAGTGTCCTTCACTATGACCAACTCAAAACACGTCTGAGATCCAACCTCCCGAACACGAGATGCCTAAAATCTGTGCTAACATGAAAGACTTTTCATGTATTTCTATTGTTTTTATCTGAGATTCAAACTCTTCTTCCTGTGTAATATGCAAAATATCTAATAGGTATTATTAATGTTTTCAGAGTCATTGTCACTAATAAACCATTAGAATTTTTCATGCTTGTATTTCTAGTATTACAGCAGAACCAGTTAAAATGATTTAAATTCCCAGGGAAGGATTATGCAATTATTTACAATCTTAGAATTGTACTTTATCAGTAAAAACCCCACCTGTAAATTCTGGAGTTTTGTAGTTTAATCTAAAATTTGTCTCATGACCCAAGATTCCAGAGTCCCAACTCTGGAGTTTGTTTTCCGTCTGTCTCTCTCCCTCCCTCATTTTAAATTTTACAGAAATATCCAGTAACATAATGCTATAGAAAATCAAGTTTCCCCAGCACGTTGGGAAGCCGAGGTGGGCGGATCAACTGAGATAAGGAGTTTGAGAGCAGCCTGGCCAATATAGTGAAACCGTGTCTCTGCTAAAAATCCAAAAATTAGCCGTGCCTGGTGGCAGGCACCTGTAACGCCAGCTACTCAAGAGGCTGAGGCATGAGAATCGCTTGAACCTGGGAGGCAGAAGTTGCAGTGAGCTGAGATTGTGTCACTGCAGTCCAGCCTGGGCGACAGAGCAAGACTCCGCCTCAAGAAAAAAAAGCAAATAGCCTATAATAACAAATTAGAGAGCTCTGGCTACTAAATTTAAAGGGTTCTATAAGGCTACATAAAGTGCAGCATCATCAAGAGTGTGGACACAGAGAGCCCCTTAGCAGAAACAGTGTCTAAAGTACATCCGTGTACACACAGTCCCTTTAGAGTTGACAAAGGCTGCCGTGTGGTTTAAGGTGGCATAGAATGTCTTCTCAATAAATAATATTAAACCAATGGGTTATACCTAGGAAAAAATAAATCTAACTCACACTATAAAAACACTTCTTAGTTTTTATCTAGTTGTACATTTTTTATGATTTATATTTAAATTTGAGAAATAAAAGTCATATACGGTCATCCTTCACTATTCGTGGGTGATTGGTTTCGAGATCTCCACTCAGATACCAAAATCTGTAGATGCTCAAGCCTCTTATATGAAATGGCACAGAGTTTGCAAATAACCTATGCACATCCTCCTGTATACATGAAATCATCTCTAGATTACTTATAATTCCTGATGCAGCCTACACACAGCTTCATTTGTGTCCATTCAACACAGTTCTGCTTTTTGTAACTCTGTGGATACTTTCTCTGAATATTTTTGATTTATACTCGGTTCAATAAAGAACTGTAAACCCCACAGATATGGAGGAGTGACTGTATATTTATAGTGTGAAAGATGATGTGTTGATATGTGTCCCTGTGTAGATGAGACTAACAAGGCCTATGATTCTACAAATGTTTCATCTTGGAATGACTCTGCCAGATTTCCAGGTCTGCAGAGAGTAAGAATATCACTTGTTCATGTGATTCACGATCCTTGGAACCTCCTATGTGCTACATCTTTGGATGGAAATAGGAGTCCCAGAGACAAATGAGGCTCCACCCTGCTTCCAGAAACTCAGAGTCCGGGGGTGAGAACCCAGTGGAGAACAGATGGGGTTATGTGGACATGGTAATGATAATGGAAGTCTTAGGCAAGAAAAGAGTCCCATTACCGAAACCATGAGGGCAGACATGTTTATTTGAAGGAGGGAAAACTACATTGAAATTATTTTAAAAAATATATAAGTTTTACTGCTGACAGAAGGCTGAAAGATACTCTGAGGGGAGGTGGAACAGCATGAGGGAAGGTGGAACAGGACGTGTCTAAGTGCCGTGTTAAGAGGGAGCCTCTTGTATGTTTGGAACTGTGAGTTCCTCAGTGTGATTGCAGCCTCAAGTAGACTAGGAAGTAAGCCAGTAAGGTTGGAGAGGTGGGCAGGGGTCAAGTGAAATGGAGAATTGTGGGCTAAGCAAAGGAGTGTGTTTTCTCTCCAGCAGGCAGTGGGGACCTTAGACATTTGTAAGCAAGAGAGAGGCACATTCAGATTTGTGGTGTGAGGAAGAGCGATGCCCTAAGATGCAGACTCACGCCTTCAGATTCCAGCTGCTGGTACATGGGAGCTGGCAACCCAGTTTTGAGACAGGGCTGTTGTCTCCCTAGAAGATCCCCTCAAGGCCTGACTGTGGTGCTCATGGGCAGGAGACAACTTTGGATCTGGACTCAGCATTTGGAAGTTCCGTGTACACTCTGGTATCTGTTGGGGGTGTCTTGGGCCTCTGAGAAGGGCGAGTGATTTTTCTCTGTGTGAAAACGCAGTGATCCAACTGTACGTATGTCACCTCCTGAGGGTCTTGTTCATCAGAGTCCTGGAGAGAGGGAAATCCTGAGTGAGGGAGGGTGCTCACGTTTTCCAGGACTGTTTGGGAATAACACTAGCCACGAGGCTGGGCCGAGGAGCACCTACCTCGCTATTCGCTGTTCTGTTCCCTGCAGGCTCTTGGTCCATTACAGCAGCATGTGTAGGAGACGGAAGTCAACAAAAGAGCTTGGAGGGCACTTCTGGGTCCTCATTTCATAAGCAGATACCAACAAACAGGGGGAGGCCATAGGTGCCTGAGGTCCCTCAGTTGCCAACAGCAGACTCAGACATTCTATCTCTCTGAGCTCAAGGACCCATCCCATGAATAGCTCTGAGTTCCCATCCCATTGATTCTGTCTCCCACTTTCTGCCTGTCATGGAACCTTCTCCTGGATGTGAGTGGCTGCAGGGGACATGAGGATACAGTTCAGAATCAGGCAACGGTCTGTGAGCTGAAAGCAGGGACAGGGAGTCTGGTGCCCTCTCTAGAAAGTCCTGCCTCTGTGGCTGCTGCCTTGGGCCAGGGACCATCCTACCTGTGAGGAACACACACCTGAGTGCTCCCATCCTGCTTCCCCACATGGCCCTGAGCTCTCTGGCCTCTCCTTCGTGAGACTTACTTTTCTTGTTGGAGCACCAGCGATGAAGGAGAAAGAAGAGGAGGAGGATGAAGAGGATGATGACCACTGAGGTCCCAATCAGAACGTGCAGGTGTCTTGGGTTACCTGGAAGAAGATGAGACACCAATAAGAAGCTAATCATAGCAGTTCCTCTTTATGAATTGTCTCGCATTTCTTGATTGACAGGTAAC
Source organism: Homo sapiens (assembly GCF_000001405.40). Lineage (NCBI taxonomy): Eukaryota > Metazoa > Chordata > Mammalia > Primates > Hominidae > Homo > Homo sapiens. Next base: position 142,035 of record NT_187641.1, read on the forward strand.
CACGTAAAACACCTCTTTAGGACAAGCACCCAGATGGCGGGAGACCCAGCTTTCTCCTGCTTTCTCAGTTATAGCTCTCAAAGTAACCATAGAATGTGCTGAGGACACAACTACTTTAGTTGAGATGTTTGACCCCTTCAAACCTCACATTGAAATTTCACCCCCATTGTGGGAGGTTGGGCCTCTTGAGAGGTGTTTGGGTCATGGAGGTGGATCCATCATGAACAGATCAATGCTGTCCCAAGGAGACGGGGTTAGCAAGTTCCCCCTCTATTAGTTCCTGGAGAGCTGGTTGTTCAAAAGAACTTGGAAGCTCCATCGCTCCCCCTCCCCCTTGCTCCCTCTCTTGCCGTGTGATCTCTGTGGTCTCTGCACAGACAGACCCTCCTTCCCTTCTGCCAGAGTGGGAGCAGCCTGAGGCCATCACGAGAAATAGATGCTGGTGCCATGCTTCCAGTACAGCCTGCAGAACGGTGAGGCAAACCAATCTCTTTTCTTTAGAAGTTGCCCAGGCTCAAGTGTTCCTTTAGAGCAACAAAAATGGACTAAGACAGCAACGTCCTGAGATCAGGAGGAACGTCCCAGAGCAGCCTGGGCTGTCTTCCTGTTCTTCCTGGAGGAGGACGTCATGCAGTGCTTTAGCTGAGTGCTTCCTGTGGCTCCAGGGTACAAAACCCAGGCTGGGCTGCTTTCTGGCTTCCCCCAGCTACACTGCAAATGGGGTGACTCCATATGTCCCGAGCAGCTTTTCTGAGCCTTGAGGGACTGGCTCACATTGAAATGTAGGCTTCTGTTTTCACTCGCTGCTTATCTGTTAGTAATGAACCTGCCTATGTAACGTATTCTCTGTGTGTTCTGTCTCCCTGGAGTGACGGTGAGTGATAGGAATTGGCGTAGGCCCAGGTGCAGTCTAGGAGGTGTTTAGGGTCTTTTCTGGGAAGACTGCACTGGGATTGACACACAGCGAATGTGCTTTAGGATTTCTACATCCACAGCATTCTTGAGTCAAACAACTTGCGTTCTCCAAGGAAAGGAAACAAAAGTGAAATCAAGATAAAAAAGCGAAATAGAGTTATCTTATGTCCAACAGCCAGGAAATCGTGTTGAAGCCCCTGTGAAACGTCCTACTCTTTGTGATCTCGGGAGACACATGTTAGGCTGCTGTTCTACCTGAGAGGCTGGGGGAAGGACCACCCCCTCCACCATCTATTGCTTCAATACCACCTGTCCTCCTGTGAATTAGTAGGAAAGGGGAGCAGGAGCTAGTGCTGGTGCTGATCTCTCATTCCAAGATCTGGACTCACTCCAAGGAGTATTAATGTTTACCTCCCCATGGTCTATCTGAATCTCCACAGGTGATTGGAAGTAGGGGTGAAGTGGGGGATTTGAGTGAGAGGGCAAGTTTTTTTTGTGATGAACAGAGCACTTTCTCTATTCCACGATCTGTGCTGGAGGATTCAGCAGGCTTTCACATTTTCTATATGGTCTCATGCTCACAGAAAGCCAAATACGGAAGAGGTTTTAGGCTCATTGCCTAATGGATAAGACAAAGGATCAAAGAAGTAATTATAGAGAAATACAAAAATGATGATTGGAATTCAGGTGCCTTTGTCATTCGTGTGTGTTTTATTATATTTATGCATTTCTTATTTTTATTTTTTGAGACGGAGTCTCCTTGTGTCACCCAGGCTGGAGTGCAGTGATGCAATCTCCACTCACTGCAACCTCCACCTCCTGGGTTGAAGTCGTTCTCCTGCTTCATCCTCAAGAGTAGGAGCTGGGATTACAGGGATGCACCACCATGCTCGGCTAATTTTTGTATTTTTCATAGAGACAGGGTTTCACCATTTTGGCCAGGCTGGTCTGGAACTCCTGACTTCAAGTGATCCACCCGCCTTGGCCTCCTGCAGTGCTGGGAATTGCCTTTTCCACGGCCTGAGCATGGGGCCGTGGCTGAATGAGTCAGTGAGTCGAAGTGTGCGTGCATGAGCTCCGTTCTCTGTTAAGGCAAAGCTCTTGCTCTGCTGAGTCAGCCAGGGTTGCTTCATGACCAACAGTAATTCATTCCTGGGCAAGTGGAACTTCTCTAAAACACCTCGCCCTCATCAAATGTTCCCTACCCTTCCCTCTCTCAAGCCCCCAGGAATTTATCCTCCAGTTAGGAATGCAGGCAGAACAAACATTGCATTTTTCCTGAGAAGGATGTCAGATTGCCAATCATTTTTCTAGCTTGTAGGAGATCTCAGCTCCATAAAATGAGAGATTAAGAGATTTCACAGAGCCCTGTTTTGGGTCCAGATCCCTTTCGCTGTTGGAGTATCTGGAGTTTGGAGATGGTAGAAGACAGGCGTACAATGTCAGAGCTGTGAGATGCTGAGTCAACGCCTGAATCCAAGGTTTCCACCTCCCCAGGTTTCCAAAAGCGGATATAAGAGGGTTCTGTACTCACCGGTTTTGGAGCTTGGTTCAGTGGGTGAAGGCCAACTATTTGAAGGGTTTCCTAGAACATGAGACAGGAGAGAGGTGAGGAAATGAGGGTGTCTGTCCTCTACTCAGTGGAAATCTTTGAGGTTGGTTCATGGCCAACACTCTGTTATCTAATATTGGGCCCTGGGAGTCCTGGGATCCTTTTTTCCGTAATTTTTGTATGTGACGGCTACTGTCTTGAGACTTCAAGGTATAAAGAGAAAACAGGAGCATCACACTACCTGATCTCAAAATATGTTACAGAGCTGTAGTAAGCAAGACAGCATGACGTTGGCATGAAGAAAGGCACATAGAACAACGGAGCAGAATGAATAACACAGATATAATCCATGCATTTACCTCCAATGTATTTTTTGTTTTTCTTTTGAGATGGAGTCTTGCTCTGTCACCCAGGCTGGAGTGCAGAGGTGCAATCTCGGTTCACTGCCACCACAGCCTCCTGGGTTCAATCACTTCTCTTGCCTCAAACTCCTGAGTAGTGGTATTACAGGTGCTGACCACCATGCTCAGCTAATTTTTATATTTTTAGTGGAGACGATGTTTCATCACGTTGGCCAGACTAATCTTGAACTCTTGGCCTCAGGTGATCCACCCACCTCGGGCTCCCAAAGTGCTGAAATTGCAGGTGTCAGCCACCATGCCCAGCCCATCCAATGGACTTTGACAAAGGTGCCAAGAACTCACAATCAGGAAAGGACAGTCTTTTCAATAAACAGTGCAGGGAAACCTGGACATCGACATGCAGAGGAATGAAACTGCACCTCTGCCTGTCACTATACACAAAAATCAAATGAAAATGGATTAAAGATGTGAGTCTAAGGCCTGAACCTATGAAACACGTAGAAGAAAATATTGGGGAAATGCTCCAGGACGTTTGTCTGAAGGAAGACATTTTGTTTTAAACCTTCAAAACACAAGTAATCGAAGCAAAAATAGACCATTGGGATTACCTCAAACTAAGCAACTTCTGCACCGCTAAAAATAAACCAACAAAGTGAAGAGACAACCCACAGATTGGGAGCAAATATGTGCAAACTATGCATCTGAGATGGGATTAATAACTAGAAATATAAGAAGCTCAAACAACTCAATAAAACAAATGATTTAATTGAAACAGGAGCAAAAGACATGAAATTTCCCCACATACGAAAAAGTGCTCAGTATCACTCATCATCAGAGAAACACAAATTAAAATCAAAGTGAGTTTTCATCTCACCCCATTAAAATGGCTTTTAGGCCGGGCGTGGTGGCTCACGTCTGTCATCCTAGAACTTTGAGAGCCTGAGGTGGGTGAATCTCATAAGGTCGGGAGTTTGAGACCAGTCTGACCCACATGGAGAAACACTGTCTCTACTAAAAATACAAAAATTAGTCGGGCGTGGTGGCGTGTGCCTGTAATTCCAGCTACTCGGGAGGCTGAGGCAGGAGAATCGCTTGAACCTGGGAGGTGGAGGTTGTGGTGAGCCGAGATCGCACCACTGCACTCAGCCTGGGTGACAAGAGCGAAACTCCATCTCAAAATAAAATGAAATAAAATAAAATGGCTTTTAGCTGCAAGACAGGCAAAAGAAATGCTGGCAAGGTGTTAGAGAAAGGAGAATCCTGGTATCCTGTTGGTAGGAGTGTAAATTAGTACAGCCATTACGGAGAAAAGTGTGGAAGTCCTTTAAAGAACTAAAAAGAGGTTGGGTGAGGTGGATCATGCCTGTAATCCCGGCACTTTGGGAGACCGAGGCGGGCACCTCAGTTGAGGTCATGAGTTTGAGAGCAGCCCAGCCAACATGGGGAAACCGCATCTATACTAAAAAAAACAAAAAGTAGCCAGGCATGGTGGCGTGCGCCTATAATCCCTGATACTAGGGAGGCTGAGGCAGGAAAATCATTTGAACCCAGGAGGCAGAGGTTGCAATGAGCCAAGATGACATCACTTGTACTCCAGCCTGGGCACAGAGGGAAACTGTCTCAAAAACAAAAACAAAACAACAAACGAAAAACTAAAAAGAGAACTTTCATAGTATCCAGCAATTTCACTACTGGGTTTATATCCAAAGGAAAGTAAATCAATATATCGAAGTGATATCTGCACTCGTATGATTGGTGCAGCACTCTTCACAGTAGCCAAGATGAGGAGTCAACCTACCTGCCCATCAGTGGGTGAATGGATAGAGAGAATGTGGTACATTTGCATAGTGGAGACTACTCTTCCATAGAAAGAAAAACATCCTGATATTTGCAGCCACATGGATGGAACTGGAGGTCATTACAAAGATTCCCATTTCTTACCCATATACAGGAGCTAAAAGGTGGATCTCATGAAGGTAGAGAGTAGAATGGTGGCTACCAGAGGCCAGGAAGAAAAGGGTGGAGGGTAAAAAAAAATATGTGTATATATATATATATTAATGTATTTATGACCACTAGACTTTACACTTAAAAATGGTAAATGTGGCTGGGCGTGGTGGCTCATGCCTGTAATCCCAGCACTTTGGGAGGCTGATGCGGGTGGATCACGTGGTCAGGAGTTCGAGACCAGCTTGACCAACATGGTGAAACCCCCTCTCTACTAAAAATACAAAAAGTAGCCTGGCATGGTGGTGCGCGCCTGTAGCACCAGCTACTCAGGTGGCTGAGGCAAGAGAATCGCTTGAACCCAGGAGGCGGAAGTTGCAGTGAGCTGAGATTGTGCCAATGCACTCCAGCATAGGGGACAGAGCTAGACTCCGCCTCAAAAAAAAAATGTTAAAGGTGGTAAGCTATATAGGTATATTTATCCTCAATAAATATTTCTCAAACAAAAGTAAAGGGTGTAGGGGTTGCAGGTGATGACATCCCTGTGTGGGTGGGAGGCCAGGATGGGCTTCTGGGAAATGGGTAATGTTGAGGGGCTGAGGGAACCTCTGATCTTCCCAAACTGAGCCCAGTCTCCCTCCTCTGGGTCTCTCCTGACCGCTTTCTCCATCTGCCTGGGTGCCTGGAGTCCTGGCCGCAGGCCTTCATGCAGGCCATGTAGGAGGGTTTGGAGGTGCCCTGTCTGCCATCCTGTGCCCTGATCCCTCCCTCACACCCAAGCTTCGTCTTCTCTCTGCATCTGTTCATCCTTCTCTCCATCCTCAGCAGGAAGCTCCTCAGCTAAGGCTCTAGGATCATAGGACATGGGACAGCCATGGGCTTTCCTCACCTGTGACAGAAACAAGCAGTGGGTCACTCGAGTTTGACCACTCGTAGGGAGAGTCACGGAAAGAGCCGAAGCATCTGTAGGTTCCTCCGTGGGTGGCAGGGCCCAGAGGAAAGTCAGCCTGGAATGTTCCGTTGACCTTGGGCCCTGCAGAGAACCTACGTTCATGGGCCTCCCCCTCCCTGGATAGATGGTACATGTCATAGGAGCTCCGGGAGCTGCAGGACAAGGTCACGCTCTCTCCTGCCAGAACCGTGGGGCCCGGCTGGGCTGAGAGAGAAGGTTTCTCATATAGACCTGGAAGGAGAAGAGGCATTTTCCTTACGGAGGATCTTCCTTGTCACAGCTCCCTTCACCTGAGCTGAGAACTCACTCCCCTGCTCTATGACCTAATGCTCTCTCTCTCTCTCTCTCTCACCCTCCACCCCATCTCTCTTCATGTCTATTTCCTCCTTCCACCTTCTCTGTCTCTCTAGGTCTCTGACCTCGCTTCCACACCTCTAGATATGTTTTCCCTTTTTGGATTGTTTTATTCTCTCTGACTCTCCTTGGATTGGTTGACTTGATGTTACTTTTTTAAATTCTAAGTTTCTCACTTTGTGTCCTGTTCATAACTTTCTGCATATTTCTATCTATTATCTATCGATCTATCTATTTATCTATTCGGTGCCTATCTACAAATTCTCTACCTGTCATCTATATCTATATATCATCTATGTATCTATCACTTGTCTATCTATCCATCAATCATCTGTTATCTATATCTATGTATCATCTCTCTCTCTATGACTTCTGTCTGCCTCTCTATCTCTATGTATTATCTATCTGTCTTCATCATCATCATCTCTATGTCTCATCTATTAATGAATCAATCAATCATCATCTATGTATCTTTAACCTATTATCTATCATCTACCTATTTATCATCTATCTATATCTATCCATCTATCATCTGTCTTGCTCTGCCTCTCGGTCTCTCTAGTTCTCTTTGGAATCTCTGCAATTCATCCCCACATCTCCATCTTTCTATGTCCTTGTGCCTCTCCCTCAGGAGTCTAATTTTAGTGCTTTTCTCTGCTCCCTTCCATCATTCTCACCACTCCTCTGCCCTCTTTTCTCTCTCTTTATGTGTCTGTGAGTCTCTCAATCTCCTTCCTCTGGCTCATTCTCTGTGTGTTTATGTCTTTGCTTTTTGGTGTCCCTGATTTCTCTCTGTGCCTCTCAGTGATCCTTTCATATGTGGGGTTATTTGGAATGTGAGCCTCAGAATCCAGTCTGGAGACCACAAGTTCACACAGCATACAGGAGTTGGTGTTCTGGGGCCATGATATCCTGGGACGGTTACTCTCCATTACATGGAAGGCAGAGGTGTCAGAATAAACACGGCATCTGTAGGTGCCACAAGGCCTGAGGCCACAGGGCCCAACTCAGGTCAGAAATATGGGTGTCCTTGGGTTCTCCTGGTAGAGAACACTTTGTGGAGGTAAAACAGAAATGAAACTTCTAACCTGTGCCAGGTCTCTGAGCAAAGTCAGCATGGAGGGACACCTCTCTCTGGGACATGTCTGTCTGTCTGTCTCCTTTAACTCCTTCTGTCTTTTCTAACTCCCGGTATGGCCCCTGTGTCTGTCCTCTGTTATGACACCTGGTCTGTACTTGTGTCTCCTGTTTCTCTGTCTCTGTTGGTACAGACCTCACCAAGTCAGTCTCTCTCCATAAGAATACCAAGCTCATCTTCCTTACAACTACCTGGGGGTTCCAAGTCGTGGATCATTCACTCTGCATCCCAATGACAATGAGAAGAATGTCCGGACACTCTCACCTGTGATGACGATGTCCAGAGGGTCACTGGGAGCTGACAACTGATGGGGGAGTGAGTAACAGAACCGTAGCATCTGTAGGTCCCTGCCAGGTCTTCCATCATGGGACCGATGGAGAAGTTGGCCTTGGAAACCCCATCATGGTGCTCTCCAGTGAGGTGCAAAGTGTCGTTAAACTTCCCTTCTCTGTGCAGAAGGAAGTGCTGAAACCTGACATCTGACCAACATTGCAGGATGACTGTCTCTTCTGATTTCACCAGGGGACCTGGGTGGGCCAGGAGGGAAGGTTTTCTGTGGACTCCTAGGAAGAGAGGTTGTGAGTTTAGAAGGTGTCTCTCTTTATCATCCCATCCATGGCACCTAGAATGAGTGAGGCTTCCCCTTGCTGGTGTCTGTCTCTCTCCTTCCTCTCTGTGTCTTCATGTTCTTTTCTGTGCCCATAACTCCTGGTGCAGGTCCTTCCATCTGTCTCCCTCCCTCTTCTCTGTCCCTCTGTCTCTAGTCGCCTCTGATTCCCTTCCCACTGGGCTTAGCCTCATCTCTTGGGGTGTTGTATCTATTTCACACTAATGTCTTTCCTGCTGTTTATGTGGGGGTGAAAGAGGAACCAGGATAGGCTGCACATCCAGCCTCTTATCAGCCTGGTTCAATCTCTTTTGGATGAATTGGAATCCTTGGCAGTAGGTATGAACTGATGAATAAGGCAGGCACCAGTGTCCACACACCCTGTTCCTGGTCGGGACTGGGAGCCACTCTTGCCATGCCTGTGCCTTCTCCATGGTGCCAGCTTCCATAGGCTGGCTCCTGGTGCTGGTTTGAGGAGTATCAACCCCTCCCTATGTGGATGGAGCCTGGTGGTGGCATCATCATCCCACACTTGCTCATCTCGGTGTAGCCAACCTTCCCCTTGTTTGGTTCCTTTAATTAATTAATTAATTATGGAGACAGAGTCTCACTCCTTCACCCCAGCTGGAGTGAAGTGGTGTGGTCTAGGGTCACTGCAACCTCTGTCTCCTGGGTTCAAGTGATTCTCCTGCCCTCAGCCTCCCAAGTCGCTAGGATTACATGCGCCTGCCACCACACCCGGCTATCCTTGTGTTGTTTCTTACCTTGTCCTTGACCTGGGTTCCAGTGTTGGTTTCCTGTTGCTGCTGTAGAAAATTATCAGAAGCATGGCAGCAGGAGAGAGCACACTGACCCATTTCACTACTGGAGACAGAAATAGGACCCTGTTTTTCCTGGGCTAAAATCAAGGCATCTGCAGGGCTTCGTTCCCTCTGGAGACTCTGGAGAATCATTTCCTTGACTTTTCCAACCTCTACAGGCCACCTGCATTCATGGCTCCTGGCCTTCCTCCACCTTCAAAGCTGGTGGAGTCTCCCATTGCGCTGCTCTAATCCCCACTCCCCTCTTCCTCCTCCTTTCATGTGGACCCTTGTGATTACACTGAGCCCAGCGGGACAGTCCAGGCTGTCTCCCCATCTCAAGGTCAACTCATCAACAACCTGAGCTCCATCTTCCCCTTCAGTTCCTTCCCCTATAACATAAATAGTCACAGACTCCAGGGATTAGAATGTAGTCATCACTGGGGACAATTATTCTTCCCACCACAGCACCCATTTCCCTGTATTCAATCCCCCTTTACCCCAAATATAGTCAGGGCCTGGGTGATGGGACCCTCAAGGACACGCCCACCAGAAGCTCTGGGATTCAGGAGGTGGGAAAGGAGAATCCAAGACAGGAGCCCTCTGACCTGTGGCCATGATCACCAGGGTGTTGCTGGGTGCCGACCACCCACTGGGGTAGTGTGGGTGTGAACCCCGACATCTGTACGTCCCTGTGTGTGCTGGGGTCACAGGGCCCATGAAAAGGCTCTTCCAGAATATTCTGTTGTAGAGCTCAGTGCCAGGCACCCCATCTTCCTTTTACAGACTGAAGTTGTTAAACCCAAGATAAGAATGACACCGAAGAATCACATGTCCTGGAGGCACCACAGAGCTGGGCCAGGCAGACAGCAAGGGCTTGTCCTGACCACCTTGGGGAGAAGGAGGCACCGCCTTAGAGAGGAGGATGTGGAGCCACCCCTCCCTCCCTGTGCTCTGAAGATTCTCCTCGCTTTCCAAGTTTCTATGGCTGCTATCACACCTTGGTGCCCAGGGCTAAAGGAAGGACCCATCCCGCAAACACAAGGTGTCTCCCTACAACAAAAGTGTCAGCTGAGAACTTTGAGCAAGTGCTGAGTAAGAGACTCCTACTAGATTTTAATACTGTAAGATTACTCACATAAAACAACACAGGGTAGACATGGGGTGGAGGGCATGTCTTTGAGAATGGAATATCAGCAGATGCCTGAATGAAAATAAGCAACTGAGCCCCCATCAGAGGATTTGGAATGTCAGGGCCATGGCTGTGGTTTCCCACCTCTTCTGGTGGAGTGACAGCAGCCACACTGCAGCCCCTACCGTCATGGAAACGCTGAAGTGTGAGTAACACCTTTGTCCTCAGAGGATCTGCTGTTCCTACCACTTCCCCACCACGCACCCCAGCTTTGAGCACCCCAGTCTAACCCTGGTCCCCACAGAACTTGACTCTGCCAAGGGAATGAAAGGCCAGGGAGGCGAGGTCGGAACTGTGGGCCGAGCACCCCAGGGTCCCCTCTTCCTAGTTTATGAGAGGCTCCCTGACAGGACTTCCCTCCTGTTTCAGGAAAATCCTCTTATGTGGGGAGATGACACCCTAAGGTTTGGAGAAGGACTCACCCTCATGTGGCCAGGCCCCCTGCAGCAAGAAGAACCCTGGAAAGAAAGATCATGATGGACGATCCATCTGCAGGCAAACCAGCCCTCCCTTGCTGCCCTCACTGGGCTGTGAGTCTTGGTAGGCAGGCCCTTCCTGGACTGAAGTTAAACTCACCCTCAGTGCCTACCTGCACCCAAGAACAGGGCTGTCGGCTGTGCAGAGACCCAGCCTCCAAGCCCAGATCCCCACCACAAGCCCATATCCCCACCACAAGCCCATATCTCCACTCCAGGCCAATATTTCCACCCTAGGCCTGTATCTCCACTCCAGGCCCATATCTCCACTCCAGGCCGATATTTCCATCATAGGCCCATATCGCCAATCCAGGCCCATATCGCCAATCCAGGCCAAGATCTCCACTGTAAGCCCATATCTCCAATCCAGGCCCATATCTCCACTCCAGGCTCAGATCTCCAACCTAGGCCCATATCTCCAATCCAGGCCCATATCTCCACACCAGGCCCATATCTCTACTGAAGGCCAGTAACTCCACCTCCAGGCCCATATCTCCACTCCAGGCCCAGATCTCCACCCCAAGCCCATATCTCCACCCCAGGCCCATATCTCTACTGAAGGCCCGTAACTCCACCTCCAGGCCCATATCTCCACCCCAGGCCCAGATCTCCACCCCAAGCCCATATCTCCACTCTAGGCCCATATCTCCTCTCCAGTCCCATATCTCCACAACCAGGCCCATATCTCCATCCTAGGCCCATATTTCCACTCTAGGCCCAGATATCCACCTCTAGGCCCATATCTCCACTCCTGGCCCAAATCTCCACTCCAGGCCCATATCTCTACTATAGGCCTATAACTCCACCTCCAGGCCCATATCTCCACTCCAGGCTCCTATCTCCCCTCCAGGTTCCTATCGGCACTCCAGGCCCAGATCTCCACTTCTAGGCCCATCACTCCATCTCTAGGCCCATATATCCACTCCAGGCCCAGATCTCCACTCCAGGCCCACAACTCCACCTCCAGGCCTATATCTCCACCTCTGGGCCCAGATCTCCAACCCCACACTCCCTTCCTCTATTCCCTTCCAGGACTCACCAACACACGCCATGCTGACGACCGTGAGCGACATGGTGCTGCCGGTGCAGACAGGCGGCCGTGCCCCAGCTCAGCTCAGCAGCGCACAGGATGTTATTTGGCGCCCTGCCCATGCAGTTTACATGTTGACCACATCATGGGAGGGTGACGTACGCAGGCTCATTCTACCTTGCATGAGGCCCAGTGGGTGCTCGCTCAAGAGCGGAACACGGCTTCCTGGAAATTGTTCTCACTAGAATTTACACCTAGCGTCCTTCACTATGACCAACTCAAAACACGTCTCAGATCCAACCTCCTGAACACGAGATGCCTAAAATCTGTGCTAACGTGAAAGACTTTTCATGTATTTTTATTGTTTTTATCTGAGATTCAAACTCTTCTTCATGTGTAATATGCAAAATATTTAATAGGTATTATTAAGGTTTTCAGAGTCATTGTGACTAATAAACCATTAGAATTTTTCATGCTTGTATTTCTAGTATTACAGCAGAACCAGTTAAAATGATTTAAATTCCCAGGGAAGGATTATGCAATTATTTACAATCTTAGAATTGTACTTTATCAGCAAAAACCACACCTGTAAATTCTGGAGTTTTGTAGTTTAATCTAAAATTTGTCTCATGACCCAAGATTCCAGAGTCCCAACTCTGGAGTTTGATCTCTCTCTGTCTCTCTGCCTCCCTCATTTTAAATTTTACAGAAATATCCAGTAACATAATGCTATAGAAAATCAAGTTTCCCCAGCACGTCGGGAAGCCGAGGTGGGCGGATCAACTGAGATGAGGGGATTGAGAGCAGCCTGGCCAACATAGTGAAACCGTGTCTCTGCTAAAAATCCAAAAATTAGCCATGCCTGGTGGCAGGCACCTGTAACGCCAGCTACTCAAGAGGCTGAGGCACGAGAATCGCTTGAACCTGGGAGGCGGAGGTTGCAGTGAGCTGAGATTGTGTCACTGCAGTCCAGCCTGGGCGACAGAGCAAGACTCCGCCTCAAGAAAAAAAAAAGCAAATAGCCTATAATAACAAATTAGAGGGCTCTGGCTACTAAATTTAAAGGGTTCTATAAGGCTACATAAAGTGTAGCATCATCAAGTGTGTGGACACAGACAGCCCCTTAGCAGAAACTGTCTAAAATACATCCATGTACACACAGTCCCTTTAGAGTTGACAAAGGCTGCCGTGTGGTTTAAGGTGGCATAGAATGTCTTCTCAATAAATAATATTAAACCAATGGGTTACACCTAGTAAAAAATAAATCTAACTCACACTATAAAAACACTTCTTAGTTTTTATCTAGTTGTACATTTTTTGATTTATATTTAAATTTGAGAAATAAAAGTCATATACGGTCATCCTTCACTATTCGTGGGTGATTGGTTTCGAGATCTCCACTCAGATACCAAAATCTGTAGATGCTCAAGCCTCTTATATGAAATGGCACAGCGCTTGCAAATAACATATGCACATCCTCCTGTATACATGAAATCATCTCTTGATTACTTATAATTCCTGATACAGCCTACACACAGCTTCATTTGTGTCCATTCAACATAGTTATGAGTTTTGGAACTCTGTGGATATTTTCTCTGAATATTTTTGATTTATACTTTGTTCAATAAAGACCTGTAAACCCCACAGATACGGAGGAGTGACCGTATATTTATAGTATGAAAGATGATGTGTTGATATGTGTCCCCATGGAGATGAGACTAACAAGGCCTATGACTCTACAAATGTTTCATCGTGGAATGACTCTGCCAGCTTTCCAGGTCTGCAGAGAGTAACAATGTCACTTGTTCATGTGATTCCCGATCCTTGGAACCTCCTATGTGCTGCATCTTTGGATGGAAATTGGAGTCCCAGAGACAAATGAGGCTCCACACTGCTTCCAGAAGCTCAGAGTCCAGAGGTGAGAACCCGGTGGAGAACAGATGGGATTATATGGACATGGTACTGATAACACCGGAAGCCTTAGGCAAGAAAAGAGTCCCATTACCTAAACCATGAGGGCAGACATGTTTATTTGAAGGAGGGAAAACTACATTGAAATTATTTTAAAAAATATATAAGTTTTACTGCTGACAGAAGGCTGAAAGCTAGACTGAGGGGAGGTGGAACAGCATGAGGGAAGGTGGAACAGCACGTGTCTAAGTGCCGTGTTAAGAGGGAGCCTCTTGTATGTTTGGAATTGTGAGTTCCTCAGTGTGATTGCAGCCTCAAGTAGACTAGGAAGTAAGCCAGTTAGGTTGGAGAGGTGGGCAGGGGTCAAGTGAAATGGAGAATTGTGGGCTAAGCAAAGGAGTGTGTTTTCTCTCCAGCAGGCAGTGGGGACCTTAGACATTTGTAAGCAAGGGAGAGGCACGTTCAGATTTGTGGTGTGAGGAAGAGCGATGCCCTAAGATGCAGACTCACGCCTTCAGATTCCAGCTGCTGGTACATTGGAGCTGGCAACCCAGTTTTGAGACAGGGCTGTTGTCTCCCTAGAAGATCCCCTCAAGGCCTGACTGTGGTGCTCATGGGCAGGAGACAACTTTGGATCAGGGCTCAGCATTTGGAAGTTCCGTGTACACGATGATATCTGTTGGGGGTGTCTTGGGCCTCTGAGAAGGGCGAGTGATTTTTCTCTGTGTGAAAACGCAGTGATTCAACTGTGCATATGTCACCTCCTGAGGGTCTTGTTCATCAGAGTCCTGGAGAGAGGGAAATGCTGAGTGAGGGAGGGTGCTCACATTTTCCAGGACTCTTTGGGAATAACACTAGCCACGAGGCTGGGCCGAGGAGCACCTACCTCCCTGTTCACTGTTCTGTTCCCTGCAGGCTCTTGGTCCATTACAACAGCATCTGTAGAAGACGGAAGTCAACAAAACAGCTCAGAGGGCACTTCTGGGCCCTCATTTCATAAGCAGATACCAACATACAGGGGGAGACCATAGGAGCCTGAGGTCCCTCAGTTGCCAACAGCAGACTCAGACATTCTATCTCTCTGAGCTCAAGGACCCATCCCATGAATAGCTCTGAGTTCCCATCCCATTGATTCTGTCTCCCACTTTCTGCCTGTCATGGAACCTTCTCCTGGATGTGAGTGGCTGCAGGGGACATGAGGATACAGTTCAGAATCAGGCAATGGTCTGTGAGCTGAAGGCAGGGACAGGGAGTCTGGTGCTCTCTCTAGAAAGTCCTCCCTCTGTGGCTGCTGCCTTGGGCCAGGGACCATCCTGTCTGTGAGGAACACACACCTGAGTGCTCCCATCCTGCTTCCCCACATGGCCCTGAGCTCTCTGGCCTCTGCTTCGTGAGACTTACTTTTTTTGTTGCAGCACCAGCGATGAAGGAGAAAGAAGAGGAGGAGGATGAAGAGGATGATGACCACTGAGGTCCCAATCAGAACATGCAGGTGTCTGGGGTTACCTGGAAGAAGAGGAGACACCAATAAGAAGCTAATCATAGCAGTTCCTCTTTATGAATTGTCTCACATTTCTTGATTGACAGGTAACCACATACAACACCCCTTTAGGACAAGCACCCAGATGGAGGGAGACCCAGCTTTCTCCTGCTTTCTCAGTTATAGCTCTCATAGTAACCATAGAACGTGTTGAGGATACAACTACTTTAGTTGAGATGTTTGACCCCTTCAAACCTCACATTGAAATTTCACCCCCACTGTGGGAGGTTGGGCCTCTTGAGAGGTGTTTGGGTCATGGAGGTGGATCCATCATGAACAGACCAATGCTGTCCCAAGGAGACGGGGTTAGCAAGTTCCCCTTCTATTAGTTCCTGGAGAGCTGGTTGTTCAAAAGAGCTTGGAAGCTCCATCGCTCCCCCTCCCCCTTGCTCCCTCTCTTGCCGTGTGATCTCTGTGGTCTCTGCACAGACAGACCCTCCTTCCCTTCTGCCAGAGTGGGAGCAGCCTGAGGCCGTCACGAGAAATAGATGCTGGTGCCACGCTTCCAGTACAGCCTGCAGAACTGTGAGGCAAACCAATCTCTTTTCTCTAGAAGTTACCCAGGCTCAAGTGTTCCTTTAGAGCAACAAAAATGGACTAAGACAGCAACGTCCTGAGATCAGGAGGAACGTCTCAGAACAGCCTGGGCTGTCTTCCTGTTCTTCCTGGAGGAGGACGTCATGCAGTGCTTTAGCTGAGTGCTTCCTGTGGCTCCACAGTACAAAACCCAGGCTGGGCTGCTCTCTGGCTTCCCCCAGCTACACTGCAAATGGGGTGACTCCATATGTCCCGAGTAGCTTTTCTGAGCCTTGAGGGACTGGCTCACATTGAAATGTAGGTTTCTGTTGTCACTCGCTGCTTATCTGTTAGTAATGAACCTGCCTGTGTAATGTATTCTCTGTGTGTTCTGTCTCCCTGGAGTGACGGTGAGTGATAGGAATTGGCATAAGCCCAGGTGCAGTCCAGGAGGTATTTAGAGTCTTCTCTGGGAAGACTGCACTGGGATTGATACACAGCGAATGTGCTTTAGGATTTCTACATCCACAGCATTCTTGAATCAAACAACTTGCATTCTCCAAGAAAAGGAAACAAAAGTGAAATCAAGATAAAAAAAGCTAAGTAGAATTCTCTTATGTCAAATGGCCAGGAAATAGTGTTGAAGCCCGTGTGAAACGTGCTACTCTTTGTGATCTCGGGAGACACATGTTAGGCTGCTGTTCTACCCGAGAGGCTGGGGGAAGGACCACCCCCTCGGCCATCTATTGCTTCAATACCACCTGTCCTCCTGTGAATTAGTAGGAAAGGGGAGCAGGAGCTAGTGCTGGCACTGATCTCTGATTCCAAGATCTGGACTCACTCCAAGGAGTATCAATGTTTACCTCCCCATAGCCTATCTGAATCTCCACAGGTGATTGGAAGTAGGGGTGAGGTGGGGGATTTGGGTGAGTGGGCAAGTTTTTTGTTGCGATGAACAGAGCACTTTCTCTATTCCACGATCTGTGCTGGAGGATTCTGAGGGCTTTCACATTTTCTATGTGATCTCATTCTCACAGAAAGCCAAATAGGGAAGAGGTTTTAAGCTCATTGCCTAATGGATAAGATAAAGGATCAAAGAAGTAATTATAGAGAAATAGAAAAACGATGATTGGAATTCAGGTGCCTTTGTCATTCGTGTGTGTTTTATTATATTTATGTATTTCTTATTTTTATTTTTTGAGATAGAGTCTCCTTGTGTCCCCCAGGCTGGAGTGCAGTGATGCAATCTCCACTCACTGCAACCTCCACCTACTGGGTTGAAGTCATTCTCCTGCTTCATCCTCCAGAATAGGAGCTGGGATTACAGGGATGCACCATCGTGCTCGGCTAATTTTTGTATTTTTAGTAGAGATAGGGTTTCACCACGTTGGCCAGGCTGGTCTGGAACTCCTGACTTCATGGAATCCACCCACCTTGGCCTCCTGCAGTGCTAGGTTACAGGCGTGAGCCACTGTTCACAGACTTGTATATTATGCTATAATAAGTCTCTTCATTTCCACCACCACTCATATATCTGTCACTCCTTTGCCAGGTATTGATTTATGTGTAGGATGAATAAATCTCAGAAAGAAATTAATTAAGCGAGGATTAAACAAGTAGGAAAATCAAACCCAGTAAGCGTTTCCAGTCAATGATTCTACCTCACAAACATATCTTATATCCATCTACTTCATTCATTTAGTGTCTAAATCAGCACCACATTTCACCAGTGGGGTGGCAATTGCCTTTTCCACGGTCTCCTAGATTCCAGTTATGCAACTGAGCCTCCCTTATTTTCATGTCAGTCATATTAATCATGTAGGGATTCCTGGTTACCCCGAGGTGAATCCAATGGCTGTGAGTGTCAAACACACACTCCTTGTTGCTCCTTAGTTTCCTGTGTACCCAGTGTGCTCTCCGTCTCTCTACAGTCGTCTTGTCATTCTCCCCACATCATTCCCAGCATTTGAGGCAGAGCCTCTTCCTTCCACATCAGATTGTTTTCACCTTTGTGCCTTCACGGCTGACAGCTGTGTGTGCAAAATCCTTCCGCCAATCTTTCAGGGGTTCAATCCGTGTTTTTCATTAATGTCACAAATATCTGAATAGTGAGACCTTCTTTGTCACCTGAAATCATACACTCAGCATTATCTATTATTGATTTTGAATTCTGGCTGGGCACAGTGGCTCACGCCTGTAGTCCCATTACTTTGGCATGCTGAGACGGTCGGATCACTTGAGGTTGGGAGTTTCAGACAAGCTTGGCCAACGTGGTGAAACATCCTCTCTACAAAAAATATACAAAAAGAATTAGCCGGGCACGGTGGCAGTTGCCTGTAATCCCAGCTACTCGAGAGGCGGAGGCAGGAGAATCACTTGAATCCAGGAGACGCAGGTTGCAGTGAGCCAAGATCGTGACACTGCACTGTAGCCTGGAAGACAGAGGGCGACTCTGTCTCAATAAACAAAAGAACAAACAAAAAATAGATTTCATGCACAGATGCTTCCCAATGGATCATTCATTTATAGATCCACTTGTGCATTCATTTTCTGCCCTCCCATTTAACCATCTGCAATATCAGTGTCCCAAGGGCAGAAGCCAAATGCATCTTGTTCACCGTTTGTGGAAGGCAGGAGAATGCTGTCCCACCCCAAAATGTCCCTGTCCTAGCCTCCATAGCTTGTGAATATGTTATTTTACATGGAAAGGAGGAATGAAGATTGTAGATGGAATTGCGGTTGCTAATCAGCTGAACTTAAAACAAGGGTATCCTGGATGATTTCCAGGAGATTATGAGGGATTTTCATCTTGGTGAACCCAATAGAATCCCCAAGTTTTCAAAAGATAAGGAAGAAGGGAGAGCAGCATTCAGAGAAAGAGGTGTGGTAAGGAAGAAGGCACTGAGTGATGCCATGTGAGATGTGACCAGTCTTTGTGGGCTTTGAGGAAGGAGGAAGGGGAACAGGAGCCAAGGAACTGGGAGCCTTTAGAAGCTGGGATAAGTGAGAAGCAGATTCTTGCCTGGAATCCTCAGAGGGAAGGCAGCCTTGCTGTCACCTTGATTTTAGCCCAGTAAGATGCACTTCCTACTTTGAGCTACAGCACTGTAAGATAATTAAAAAACCGTTTTGTTTTCACCCACGAATCTTGTGGAAATTTGTTATGGCAACAATAGGAAAAGGTTCCGCACTGCACAGCCTGAGCATGGGGCCGTGGCTGAATGAGTCAGTGAGTCGAAGTGTGCGTGCATGAGCTCCGTTCTCTGTTACGGCAAGGCTGTTGCTCTGCTGAGTCAGCCAGGGTTGCTTCATGACCAACAGTAATTCATTCCTTGGCAAGTGGAACTTCTCTAAAACACCTCGCCCTCATCAGATGTTCCCTTCCCTTCCCTCTCTCAAGCCCCCAGGAATTTATCCTCCAGTTAGGAATGCAGGCAGAACAAACATTGCATTTTTCCTGAGAAGGATGTCAGATTGGCAATCATTCTTCTAGCTTGTAGGAGGTCTCAGCTCCATAAAATGAGAGATTAAGAGATTTCACTGAGCCCTAGGTTGGGCCCAGATCCCTTTCGCTGTTGGAGTATCTGGAGTTCGGAGATGGTAGAAGACAGGCGTACAATGTCAGAGCTGCGAGATGCTGAGTCAATGCCTGCATCGAAGGTTTCTACCTCCCCAGGTTTCCAAAAGCGGATATAAGAGGGTTCTGTACTCACCGGTTTCGGAGCTTGGTTCAGTGGGTGAAGGCCAACTATTTGAAGGGTTTCCTAGAACACGAGACAGGAGAGAGGTGAGGAAATGAGGGTGTCTGTCCTCTACTCAATGGAAATCTTTGAGGTTGGTTCATGGCCAACACTCTGTTATCTAATATTGGGCCCTGGGAGTCCTGGGATCCTTTTTTCCGTAATTTTTGTATGTGACGCCCACTGTCTTGAGACTTCAAGGTATAAAGAGAAAACAGGAGCATCACACTACCTGATCTCAAAATATGTTACAGAGCTGTAGTAAGCAAAACAGCATCACATTGGCATAAAGAAAGGCACGTAGAACAATGGAGCAGAATGAAGAACACAGATATAATCCATGCATTTACCTCCAATGTTTTTTTCTTTTTTCTTTTGAGATGGAGTCTCGCTCTGTCACCCAGGCTGGAGTGCAGAGGTGCAATCTCGGTTCACTGCCACCACAGCCTCCTGGGTTCAATCAATTCTCTGGCCTCAAACTCCTGAGTAGTGGTATTACAGGTGCTGACCACCATGCTCAGCTAATTTTTATATTTTTAGTGGAGACAATGTTTCATCACGTCGGCCAGACTAATCTTGAACTCCTGGCCTCAGGTGATCCACCCGCCTTGGGCTCCCAAAGTGCTGAAATTGCAGGTGTCAGCCACCATGCCCAGCCCATCCAATGGACTTTGACAAAGGTGCCAAGAACTCACAATCAGGAAAGGACAGTCTTTTCAATAAACAGTGCAGGGAAACCTGGACATCTACATGCAGAGGAATGAAACTGCACCTCTACCTGTCACTATACACAAAACTCAAATGAAAATGGATTAAAGATGTGAGTCTAAGGCCTGAACCTATGAAACACGTAGAAGAAAATATTGGGGAAATGCTCCAGGACATTTGTCTGAAGGAAGACATTTTGTTTTAAACCTTCAAAACACAAGTAATCGAAGCAAAAATAGACCATTGGGATTACCTCAAACTAAGCAACTTCTGCACCGCTAAAAATAAACCAACAAAGTGAAGAGACAACCCACAGATTGGGAGCAAATATGTGCAAACTATGCATCTGAGATGGGATTAATAACTAGAAATATAAGAAGCTCAAACAACTCAATAAAACAAACGATTTAATTGAAAAAGGAGCAAAACACATGAAATTTCCCCACATACTAAAAAGTGCTCAGTTTCACTCATCATCAGAGAAACACAAATTAAAATCAAAGTGAGTTTTCATCTCACCCCATTAAAATGGATTTTAGGCCGGGCGTGGTGGCTCACGTCTGTCATCCTAGACCTTTGAGAGCCTGAGGTGGGTGAACCTCATAAGGTCGGGAGTTTGAGACCAGTCTGACCCACATGAAGAAACACTGTCTCTACTAAAAATACAAAATTTAGTTGGGCGTGGTGGCGTGTGCCTGTAATTCCAGCTACTCGGGAGGCTGAGGCAGGAGAATCGCTTGAACCTGGGAGGTGGAGGTTGTGGTGAGCCGAGATCGCACCACTGCACTCCAGCCTGGGTGACAAGAGCGAAACTCCATCTCAAAATAAAATGAAATAAAATAAAATGGCTTTTAGCTGCAAGACAGGCAAAGGAAATCCTGCCAAAGTGGTAGAGAAAGGAGAACCCTAATACCCTGTTGGTAGGAGTGTAAATTAGTACAGCCTTTACGGAGAAAAGTGTGGAAGTCCTTTAAAGAACTAAAAAGAGGTTGGGTGAGGTGGATCATGCCTGTAATCCCGGCACTTTGGGAGACCGAGGCGGGCACCTCAGTTGAGGTCATGAGTTTGAGAGCAGCCCAGCCAACATGGGGAAACCCCATCTATACTAAAAAAAACAAAAAGTAGCCAGGCATGGTGGCGTGCACCTGTAATCCCAGCTACTAGGGAGGCTGAGGCAGGAAAATCATTTGAACCCAGGAGGCGGAGGTTGCAATGAGCCAAGATGACTTCACTTGTACTCCAGCCTGGGCACAGAGGGAAACTGTCTCAAAAACAAAAACAAAACAACAAACGAATAACTAAAAAGAGAACTTTCATAGTATCCAGCAATTTCACTACTGGGTTTATATCCAAAGGAAAGTAAATCAATATATCGAAGTGATATCTGCACTCGTATGATTGGTGCAGCACTGTTCACAGTAGCCAAGATGTGGAGTCAACCTACCTGCCCATCAGTGGATGAATGGATAGAGAGAATGTAGTACATACGCACAGTGGAGACTACTCATCCATAGAAAGAATAACATCCTGATATTTGCAGCCACATGGATGGAACTGGAAGTCATTACAAAGATTCCCATTTCTCACCCATATACAGAGCTAAAAGGTGGATCTCATGAAGGTAGAGAGTAGAATGGTGGCTTCCAGAGGCCAGGAATAAAAGGGTGGAGGGTAAAAAAAAAAAAAAAAAAAAATATATATATATATATATATATATATATATATATGTTTATATATGTGTGTGTGTGTGTATATATATATATATATATATATATATAAATGTATTTATGACCACTAGACTTTACACTTAAAAATGGTAAATGTGGCTGGGCGTGGTGGCTCATGCCTGTAATCCCAGCACTTTGGGAGGCAGATGCGGGTGGATCACGTGGTCAGGAGTTGGAGACCAGCTCGACCAACATGGTGAAACCCCCTCTCTACTAAAAATACAAAAAGTAGCCTGGCGTGGTGGTGCGCGCCTGTAGCACCAGCTACTCAGGTGGCTGAAGCAGGAGAATCACTTGAACCCAGGAGGCGGAAGTTGCAGTGAGCTGAGATTGTGCCACTGCACTCCAGCATAGGGGACAGAGCTAGACTCTGCCTCAAAAAAAAAAAAAATGTTAAAGGTGGTAAGCTATATAGGTATATTTATCCTCAATAAATATTTCTTCAAACAAAAGTAAAGGGTGTAGGGGTTGCTGGTGATGACATCCCTGTGTGGGTGAGAGGCCAGGATGGGCTTCTGGGAAATGGGTAATGTTGAGGGGCTGAGGGAACCTCTGATCTTCCCAAACTGAGCCCAGTCTCTCTCCTCTGGGTCTCTCCTGACCGTTTTCTCCATCTGCCTGTGTGCCTGGAGCCCTGGCCGCGGGCCTTCATGCAGGCCGTGTAGGAGGGTTTGGAGGTGCCCTGTCTGCCATCCTGTGCCCTGATCCCTCCCTCACACCCAAGCTTCGTCTTCTCTCTGCATCTGTCCATGCTTCTCTCCATCATCAGCAGGAAGCTCCTCAGCTAAGGCTCTAGGATCATAGGACATGAGACAGATATGGGGTTTCCTCACCTGTGACAGAAACAAGCAGTGGGTCACTCGAGTTTGACCACTCGTATGGAGAGTCACGGAAAGAGCCGAAGCATCTGTAGGTTCCTCCGTGGGTGGCAGGGCCCAGAGGAAAGTCGGCCTGGAATGTTCCGTTGACCTTGGGCCCTGCAGAGAACCTACGTTCATGGGCCTCCCCCTCCCTGGATAGATGGTACATGTCATAGGAGCTCCGGGAGCTGCAGGACAAGGTCACGCTCTCTCCTGCCAGAACCGTGGGGCCCGGCTGGGCTGAGAGAGAAGGTTTCTCATATAGACCTGGAGGAGAAGAGGCATTTTCCTTACGGAGGATCTTCCTTGTCACAGCTCCCTTCACCTGAGCTGAGAACTCACTCCCCTGCTCTATGACCTAATGCTCTCTCTCTCTCTCTCTCTCACCCTCCACCCCATCTCTCTTCATGTCTATTTCCTTCTTCCACCTTCTCTGTCTCTCTAGGTCTCTGACCTCGCTTCCCCACCTCTAGATATGTTTTCCCTTTTTGGATTCTTTTATTCTCTCTGACTCTCCTTGGATTGGTTGACTTGATGTTACTTTTTTAAATTCTAAGTTTCTCACGTTGTGTCCTGTTCATAACTTTCTGCATATTTCTATCTATTATCTGTCGATCTATCTATTTATCTATTCGGTGCCTATCTACAAATTCTCTACCTGTCATCTATATCTATATATCATCTATGTATCTATCACTTGTCTATCTATCCATCAATCATCTGTTATTTATATGTATGTATCATCTCTCTCTCTATGATTTCTGTCTGCCTCTCTATCTGTACGTATTATCTGTCTTCATCATCATCATCTCTATGTATTATCTATTAATGAATCAATCAATCATCATCTATGTATCTTTAACCTATTATCTATCATCTACCTATTTATCATCTATCTATATCTATCCATCTATCATCTGTCTTGCTCTGCCTCTCGGTCTCTCTAGTTCTCTTTGGAATCTCTGCAATTCATCCCCACATCTCCATGTTTCTATGTCCTTGTGCCTCTCTCTCAGGACTCTAATTTTAGTGCTTTTCTCTGCTCCCTGCCATCATTCTCACCACTCCTCTGCCCTCTTTTCTCTCTCTTTATGTGTCTGTGAGTCTCTCAATCTCCTTCCTCTGGCTCATTCTCTGTGTGTTTATGTCTTTGCTTTTTGGTGTTCCTGATTTTTCTCTGTGCCTCTCAGTGATCCTTTCATATGTGGGGTTATTTGGAATGTGAGCCACAGAATCCAGTCTGGAGACCACAAGTTCACACAGCATACAGGGGTTGGTGTTCTGGGGCCATGATATCCTGGGACGATTACTCTCCATTACATGGAAGGCAGAGGTGTCAGAATAAACATGGCCTGTAGGTGCCACAAGGCCTGAGGCCACAGGGCCCAACTCAGGTCATAAATATGGGTGTCCTTGGGTTCTCCTGGTAGAGAACACTTTGTGGAGGTAAAACAGAAATGAAACTTCTAACCTGTGCCAGGTCTGTGAGCAAAGTCAGCATGGAGGGACACCTCTCTCTGGGACATGTCTGTCTGTCTGTCTCTTTTAACTCTTTCTGTCTTTTCTAACTCCCTGTATGGCCCCTGTGTCTGTCCTCTGTTATGACACCTGGTCTGTACTTGTGTCTCCTGTTTCTCTGTCTCTGTTGGTACAAACCTCAGCAAGTCAGTCTCTCTCCATAAGAATACCAAGCTCATCTTCCTTACAACTACCTGGGGGTTCCAAGTCGTGGATCATTCACTCTGCATCCCAATGACAATGAGAATGTCCGGACACTCTCACCTGTGATGACGATGTCCAGAGGGTCACTGGGAGCTGACAACTGATAGGGGGAGTGAGTAACAGAACCGTAGCATCTGTAGGTCCCTGCAAGGTCTTGCATCATGGGACCGATGGAGAAGTTGGCCTTGGAGACCCCATCATGGTGCTCTCCAATGAGGTGCAAAGTGTCCTTAAACTTCCCTTCTCTGTGCAGAAGGAAGTGCTGAAACCTGACATCTGACCAACATTGCAGGATGACTGTCTCTTCTGATTTCACCAGGGGACCTGGGTGGGCCAGGAGGGAAGGTTTTCTGTGGACTCCTAGGAAGAGAGGTTGTGAGTTTAGAAGGTGTCTCTCTTTATCATCCCATCCATGGCACCTAGAATGAGTGAGGCTTCCCCTTGCTGGTGTCTGTCTCTCTCCTTCCTCTCTGTGTCTTCATGTTCTTTTCTGTGCCCTTAACTCCTGGTGCAGGTCCTTCCATCTGTCTCCCTCCCTCTTCTCTGTCCCTCTGTCTCTAGTAGCCTCTGATTCCCTTCCCACTGGGCTGAGCCTCATCTCTTGGGGTGTTGTATCTATTTCACACTAATGTATTTCCTGCTGTTTATGTGGGGGTGAAAGAGGAACCAGGATAGGCTGCACATCCAGGCTCTTATCAGCCTGGTTCAATCTCTTTTGGATGAATTGCAATCCTTGGCAGAAGGTATGAACTGATGAATAAGGCAGGCACCAGTGTCCACACACCCTGTTCCTGGTGGGGACTGGGAGCCACTCTTGCCATGCCTGTGCCTTCTCCATGGTGCCAGCTTCCATAGGCTGGCTCCTGGTGCTGGTTGGAGGAGTATCAACCCCTCCCTATGTGGATGGAGCCTGGTGGTGGCATCATCATCCCACCCTTGCTGATCTCAGGGTAGCCAACCTTCTCCTTGTTTGGTTTCTTTAATTAATTAATTAATTATGGAGACAGAGTCTCACTCCTTCACCCAGGCTGGAGTGAAGTGGTGTGGTCTAGGCTCACTGCAACCTCTGTCTCCTGGGTTCAAGTGATTCTCCTGCCCTCAGCCTCCTGAGTCGCTAGGATTACATGCACCTGCCACCATGCCTGGCTTTCCTTGGGTTGTTTCTTAACTTGTCCTTGACCTGGGTTCCAGTGTTGGTTTCCTGTTGCTGCTGTAGAAAATTATCAGAAGCATGGCAGCAGGAGAGACCACACTGACACCTTCCAGTACTGGAGACAGAAATTGGACCCTATTTTTCCTGGGCTAAAATCAAGGCATCTGCAGGGCTTTGTTCCCTCTGGAGACTCTGGAGAATCAGTTCCTTGACTTTTCCAGCCTCTATAGGCCACCTGCATTCATGGATCTTGGCCTTCCTCCACCTTCAAAGCTGGTGAAGACTTCCACTGGACTGCTCTAATCCCCACTCCCCTCTTCCTCCTCCTTTCATGTGCACCCTTGTGATTACACTGAGCCCAGTGGGACAGTCCAGGCTGTCTCCCCATGAGCTCCATCTTCCCCTTCAGTCCCTTCCCCTATAACATAAATAGTCACAGACTCCAGGGATTAGAATGTAGTCATCACTGGGGACAATTATTCTTCCCACCACAGCACCCATTTCCCTGTATTCAATCCCCCTTTACCACAAATACAGTCAGGGCCTGCGTGATGGGACCCTCAAGGACATGCCCAACAGAAGCTCTGGGATTCAGGAGGTGGGACAAGGAGAATCCAAGACAGGAGCCCTCTGACCTATGACCACGATCACCAGGGGGTTGCTGGGTGCTGACCACCCACTGGGGGAGTGTGTGTGTGAACCCCGACATCTGTATGTCCCTGTGTGTGCGGGGGTCACAGGGCCCATGAAAAGGCTGTTCCAGAATATTCTGTTGTAGAGCTCAGGGACAGGCACCCCACCTTCCTTTTACAGACTGAAGTTGTTAAACCCAAGATAAGAGTGACACCGAAGAATGACATGTCCTAGAGGCACCACAAGGCTGGGCCAGGCAGACAGCAAGGGCTTGTCCTGACCACCTTGGGGAGAAGGAGGCGCCGCCTTAGAGAGGAGGATGTGGAACTGCCCTTCCCTCCCTGTGCTCAGAAGATTCTCCTCGCTTTCCACGTTTCTATGGCTACTATCACACCTTGGTGCCCAGGGCTGAAGGAAGGACCCATCCCGCAAAGACATGGTGTCTCCCTACAACAAAAGCCTCAGCTGAGAACTTTGAGCAAGTGCTGAGTAAAGAGACTCCTACTAGATTTTAATACTGTAAGATTACTCACATAAAACAACACAGGGTAGACATGAGGTGGAGGGCATGTCCTTTGTGAATGGATATCAGCGGATGCCTGAACGAAAATAAACAACTGAGCCCCCATCAGAGGATTTGGAATGTCAGGGCCATGGCTGTGGTTTCCCACCTCTTCTGGTAGAATGACAGCAGCCACACTGCAGCCCCTACCATCATGGAAACGCTGAAGTGTGTGAGTAACACCTTTGTCCTCAGAGGATCTGCTGTTCCTACCACTTCCCAACCACACACCCCAGCTTTGAGCACCCCAGTCTAACCCTGGTCCCCACAGAACTTGACTCTGCCAAGGGGTTGAGAGGCCAGGGAGGCGAGGTCAGAAATGTGGGCTGAGCACCCCAGGGTCCTCTCTTCCTAGTTTATGAGAGACTCCCCGACAGGACTTCCCTCCTGTTTCAGGAAAATCCTCTTATGTGGGGAGATGACACCCGAAGGTTTGGAGAAGGACTCACCCTCATGTGGCCAGGCCCCCTGCAGCAAGAAGAACCCTGGAAAGAAAGATCATGATGGACCATCCATCTGCAGGCAAACCAGGCCTCCCTTGCTGCCCCCACTGGGCTGTGAGTCTTGGCAGCCAGGCCCTTCCTGGGCTGAAGTTAAACTCACCCTCAGTGCCTACCTGCACCCAAGAACAGGGCTGTCGGCTGTGCAGAGACCCAGTTTCCAGGCCCATATCCCCACCCCAAGCCCATATCTCCACTCCAGGCTGATATTTCCACCCTAGGCCCATATCGCCAATCCAGGCTCAGATCTCCACCCTAGGCCCCTATCTCCAATCCAGTCCCATATCTCCGCCCCAGGCCCAGATCTCCACCCTAAGCCCATATCTCCACTCCAGGCCCATATCACCTCTCCAGTCCCATATCTCCACACCCAGGCCCATATCTCCTTCCTAGGCCCATATCTCCACTCCAGGCCCAGATATCCATCTCTAGGCCCATAACTCCACTCCTGGCCCATATCTCCACTCCAGGCCCATATCTCTACTGCAGGCCCGTATCTCCACCTCCAGACCCATATCTCCACTCCAGGCCCATATCTCCACCTCCAGGCCCATATCTCCACCTCCAGGCCCATATCTCCACTCCAGGCCCATATCTCCACTCCAGGCCCCTATCTCTACTGCAGGCCCATATCTCCATCTCCAGGCCCATATCTCCATCTCCAGGCCCATGTCTCCACTACAAGCCCATATCTCTACTGCAGGCCCATATCTCAACCTCCAGGCCCATATCTCCACTCCAGGCCCAGATCTCCACTCCAGGCCCAGATCTCCACTTCTAGGCCCATCACTCCATCTCTAGGCCCATAACTCCACTTCCAGGCCTATATCTCCAACTCTGGGCCCCGATCTCCATCCCCGCACTCCCTCCCTCGATGCCCTTCCAGGACTCACCAACACACACCATGCTGACGACCATGAGCGACATGGTGCTGTCTGTGCAGACAGGCAGCCGTGCCCCAGCTCAGCTCAGCAGCGCACAGGATGTTATTTGGCGCCCTGCCCATGCAGTTTACATGTTGACCACATCATGGGAGGGTGACGTACGCAGGCTCTTTCTACCTTGCATGAGGCCCAGTGGGTGCTCGCTCAAGAGCGGAACATGGCTTCCTGGAAATTGTTCTCACTAGAATTGACACCTTGCGTCCTTCACTACGACCAGACTCAAAAGACGTCTCAGATCCAACCTCTCATACACGAGATGATTGAATTCTGTGCTTACATTAAAGATTTTTGATGTATTTTTGTTTTTATCTGAGATTCAAACTCTTCTTCATATGTAATGTGCAAAATGTCTAACAGGTATTATTAACATTATCAGAGTAATTGTGACAAGAAGCCATTCTAATTTTCCTGCTTGAGTTTCTACTACTAAACCAGAGGCATCAGAATAGCTTGAACCTGGGAGACGGAGGTTGCAGTGAGCTGAGCTCAAGCCACTGAACTCCAGCTTGGGTGACAGAGGAAGAGTCTGTCTCAAGAAAAAAAAAAAAAGCAAACTAAATAACCTATAATAACAAATCAGAGGACTCAGGTTACCAAATTTTAAGGGGTTCTATAAGTTTATATAAAATGCAGCATCCTCATGAGAGGGGATACAGAGAACCACTGGACAGAAAACTGTGTCTAAAATACATCTGTGGATACACAGTCCCTTTATAGTTGACAAAGGCTGCCATGTAGTTTAAGGTGGAATAGAATATTTTCTCAACAAATAACACAGGACCATAGGGTTACACGTAGGAAAAAATAAATCTAAACTTATCCTCACACTATAAAAACACTTCTTATTTTTTATCTTGTTGTTGTAAATTTTTTATGCTTTATTTTTAAGATTGACAAATAAAAATTATATACCATGGTCCTTCACTATACCTGGGTGATTGGTTCCAGGATCCCCATTCAGATACCAAAATCTGCAGATGCTCAAGCCCCTTGCATGAAATGGCATAGTGAAGCTGGGCACCGTGGCTCACGCCTGTAATCCCAGCACTTTGGGAGGCTGAGCTGGGTAGATCACAAGGTCAGGAGTTCAAGACCAGCTGGTCCAACATTCTGAAACCCCATCTCTACTAAAAATATACACACAAAAAAATTTATCTGTGCAGGGTGGCACGTGCCTGTAATCCTAGGGGAGGCTACTGGGGAGGCTGAGGGAAGAGAATCGCTTGAACCTGGAAGGCGGAGGTTGCAGTGAGTTGAGATCACGCCACTGCACTCCAGCCTGGGTGAGAGAGTGAGACTGTCTCAAAAAAAAAAAAAATAGCATAGCAATTGCATAGAACCCATGCACATCCTCCTGTATACATGAAATCATCTCTTGATTACTTATAATTCCTGACACAGCCTACACGCCACTCAATTTGTGTCGATTCAACATAGTTTTTTGCTTTTTGAAACTTCGGGGATTTTTTTTCTCAAAATATTTTTGATTTATTGCTGATTCAATAAACATGTGTAAACCCCAGAGATATGGAGGAGTGACTGTCTATTTATAGTAGTATGAAAGATGATGTGTTGATACGTGTCCCTGTGGAGATGAGACTAACAAGGCCTATGACTCTACAAATGTTTCATCGTGGAATGACTCTGCCAGCTTTCCAGATCTGCAGAGAGTAAGAATATCACTTGTTCATCTGATTCACCATCCTTGGAACCTCCTATGTGCTGCATCTTTGGATGGAAATTGGAGTCTCAGAGACAATTCAGGCTCCACCCTGCTTCCAGAAGCTCAGAGTCCAGGGGTGAGAACCCAGCGGAGAACAGATGGGGTTATGTGGACGTGGTAATGATAACACCGGAAGCCTTAGGCAAGAAAAGAGTCCCATTGACGAAACCATGAGGGCAGACATGTTTACTTGAAGAAGAGAAAACTACATTGAAATTATAAAAAAAATTTATAAGTTTTACTGCTGACAGAAGGCTGAAAGATACTCTGAGGAAAGGTGGAATAGCACGTATCTAAGTGCCGTGTTAAGAGGGAGCCTCTTATATGTTTGGAATTGTGAGTTCCTCAGTGTGATCGCAGCCTCAAGTAGACTAGGAAGTAAGCCAGTTAGGTTGGAGAGGTGGGCAGGGGTCAAGTGAAATGGAGAATTGTGGGCTAAGCAAGTGTGTTTTCTCTCCAGCAGGCAGTGGGGACCTTAGACATTTGTAAGCAAGAGAGAGGCATGTTCAGATTCGTGGTGTGAGGAAGAGCGATGCCCTAAGATGCAGACTCACGCCTTCAGAGTCCAGCTGCTGGTACATGGGAGCTGGCAACCCGGTTTTGAGACAGGGCTATTGTCTCCCTAGAAGATCCCATCAAGGCCTGACTGTGGTGCTAGTGGACAGAAGACAACTTTGGATCTGCGCTCAGCATTTGGAAGTTCCGTGTTACACGCTGGTATCTGTTGGGGGTGTCTTGGGCCTCTGAGAAGGGCGAGTGATTTTTCTCTGTGTGAAAACGCAGTGATTCAACTGTGCGTATGTCACCTCCTGAGGGTCTTGTTCATCAGAGTCCTGGAGGGAGGGAAATGCTGAGTGAGGGAGGGTGCTCACATTTTCCAGGACTCTTTGGGAATAAGACTAGCCACGAGGCTGGGCGGAGGAGCACCTACCTCCCTGTTCACTGTTCTGTTCCCTGCAGGCTCTTGGTCCATTACAACAGCATCTGTAGAAGACGGAAGTCGTCAAAACAGCTCGGAGGGCACTTCTGGGTCCTCATTTCATAAGCAGATACCAACATACAGGGGGAGGCCATAGGTGCCTGAGGTCCCTCAGTTGCCAACAGCAGACTCAGACATTCTATCTCTCTGAGCTCAAGGATCCATCCCATGTATAGCTCTGAGTTCCCATCCTATTGATTCTGTGTCCCACTTTCTGCCTGTCATGGAACCTTCTCCTGGATGTGAGTGGCTGCAGGGGATGTGAGGATACGGTTCAGAATCAGGCAATGGTCTGTGAGCTGAAGGCAGAGGCAGGGAGTCTGGTGCTCTCTCTAGAAAGTCCTGCCTCTGTGGCTCCTGCCTTGGGCCAGGGACCATCCTGCCTGTGAGGAACACACACCTGAGTGCTCCCATCCTGCTTCCCCACATGGCCCTGAGCTCTCTGGCTTCTGCTTCGTGAGACTTACTCTTTTTGTTGGCACACCAGCGATGAAGGAGAAAGAAGAGGAGGATAGCAAAGGGGATGATGACCACTGAGGTCCCAATCAGAACGTGCAGGTGTCTGGAGTTACCTGGAGGAAGACAAGACACCAATAAGAAGCTAATCATAGCAGTTCCTCTATATGAATTGTCTCACATTTCTTGATTGACAGGTAACCACATACAACGTCTCTTTAGGACAAGCACCCAGATGGCGGGAGACCTAGCTTCCTCCTGCTTTCTCAGTTGTAGTAACCATAGAACGTGCTGAGGATACAACTGCTTTAGTTTAGATGTTTGACCCCTTCAAACCTCACATTGAAATGTAACCCCCAGGGTGGGAGGTTGGGCCTCTTGGGAGTTGTTTGGGTCATGGAGGTGGATCCATCATGAACAGATCAATGCTGTTCCAAGGAGACGGGGTTAGCAAGTTCCCCCTCTATTAGTTCCTGGAGAACTGGTTGTTAAAAGAGCTTGGAAGCTCCATCGCTCCCCCTCCCCCTTGGTCCCTCTCTTGCCGTGTGATCTCTGTGGTCTCTGCACAGACAGACCCTCCTTCCCTTCTGCCAGAGTGGGAGCAGCCTGAGGCCGTCACAAGAAATAGATGCTGGTGCCATGCTTCCAGTACAGCCTGCAGAACTGTGAGGCAAACACATTTCTTTTCTTTAGAAGTTACCCAGGCTCAAGTGTTCCTTTAGAGCAACAAAAATGGACTAAGACAGCAACGTCCTGAGATCAGGAGGAACATCCCAGAACAGCCTGGGCTGTCTTCCTGTTCTTCCTGGAGGAGGACGTCATGCAGTGCTTTAGCTGAGTGCTTCCTGTGGCTCCAGGGTACAAAACCCAGGCTGGGCTGCTTTTTGATTTCCCCCAGATACACTGCATATGGGGTGACTCCACATGTCTCGAGCAGCTTTTCTGAGCCTTGAGGGACTGGCTCACATTGAAATGTAGGTTTCTGTTGTCACTCGCTGCTTATCTGTTAGTAATGAACCTGCCTGTGTAATGTGTTCTCTGTGTGTTCTGTCTCCCTGGAGTGACGGTGAGTGATAGGAATTGGTATAGGCCCAGGTGCATTCCAGGAGGTGTTTAGAATCTTCTCTGGGAAGACTGGATTGGGATTGATACACAGCGAATGTGCTTTACAGTTTCTACCACCACAACCCTCTTGACTCAAAAAAAATTACATTCTCCAAGAAAAGAAAGAAAAAATGAAATCAAGATAAAAAAAGTGAAGTAGAACTGACTTAAATCAAACAGCCATGAAATAATGATGTAGCCCAGGAACAACATGCTACTTTTTGTGATCTGCTGAGACAT
This sequence comes from Homo sapiens, assembly GCF_000001405.40. Classification (NCBI taxonomy): domain Eukaryota; kingdom Metazoa; phylum Chordata; class Mammalia; order Primates; family Hominidae; genus Homo; species Homo sapiens. Next base: position 174,378 of record NT_187641.1, read on the forward strand.
ATATTAGGCTGCTATTCCACCCGAGAAGCACGGGGAAGGACCGCCCTCTCCGTCGTTTATTGTTTCAATACAGCCTGTCCTTCTGTGAGTTAGTACGAAATGTGACCAGGGGCTAGTGCTGGCACTGGTCTCTGAGTCCAAGATCTGAGCTCACTCCAAAGAGTATTAGTGTTTACCTCCCCATGATCTATCTGTATCTCCATAGGTGATTGGAAGTAGAGATGAATTGGGGGATTTGGGTGAAGGGGCAAGTTTTATGCCATGAACAGAGCATGTTCTCTATTCCAGGACCTGTGCTGGTGGGTTCAGGAGGCTTTCACATTTTCCATATGATCCCAAGCTCACAGAAAGCCAAATAAGGAAGAGGTTTAACCTGATTGTTTAATGGATAAGATAAAGGGTCAAAGAATTAAATACAGAGAAATAGAAAAATGATGGTTGGTATCCAGTTGCCTTTGTAATTTCTGTGTGTCATATTAATTATGTATGTTTTATTTTTATTTTTTGAGACAGAGTCCCCCTGTGTCAGGCTGGAGTGCAGTGATGCGATCTCAGTTCAACCTCTGCCTCCAGGGTTGAAGCCATTCTTCTGCTTCAGCCTCCCCAGTCGCTGGGATTACAGGCAGGTGCCAATGCACCAGGCTAATTTTTGTATTTTTAGTACAGACGGGGTTTCACCATGTTGGCCAGGCTGGTCTCAAACTCCTACCCTTAAGTGATCTACCCGCCTTGGCCTCCCAAAGTGTTGGGTTACAGGTGTGAGCCCCCATCCACAGTCTTGTATATTATATTATACTAGGTCCCTTCATTTGCACCACCCCTCATGTGTCTATCGCTCCTCTGCCAGGTATTGATTTAGATGTAGAAAAAAAACACATCTCAGAAAGAAATTAATGAAACAAGGATTAAACTACTAGGAAAAATCAAACCCAGCAAGCCCTCCCTGCAAATGATTCTACCTCACAAGCATAGCTTATATCCATCTTTCATTCATTTAGTGTGTAAATCAACCCTACGTTTCACCAGTGGGGCGGGAATTGCCTTTTCCACCGTCTCCTAGATTCCAGTTACGCACCTGGGCCTCCCTTATTTTCATGTCGGTCACTATTAATCAGGTAGGGATTCCTAGTTAGCTCTGAGTTGAATCCAATGGCTGTGAGTATCAAACACACGCTCCTTGTTCCTCCTTAGTTTCCTGTGTACCCAGTGTGCTCTCCATCTCTCTACAGTTGTCTTGTCATTCTCCCCACTTCATTCCCAGCATTTGAGGCAGAGCCTCTTCCTTGAACTAAGAATGTTTCCACCTTTGTGCCTTCACGGCTGAGAGCTCAGTGTGGAAAATCCTTCCGCCAATCTTCCAAGGGTTGAATCCATTTTTTCCATTAAGGTCACAAATATTATCTGATCAGTGAGACCTTCTCTGTCACCTGAAATTATATACTCAGCATTATCTATTACTTATTTTAAATCCTGGCTGGGCGCAGTAGCTCTCGCCTGTAATCTTTGCACTTAGGGACGCTAAGGCGGTGGGATCACTTGAGATTGGGAGTTTGAGACAGCCTGCACAACATGGTGAAACCTCATTTCTACTAAAAAATATACCAAAAAAATTAGCCGAGTGTGGTGGCGCACAGCTGTAATCCCAGCTACTCGGTAGGCTGAGGCAGGAGAATTGCATGAACCCAGGAGGCAGAGGTTGCAATGAGCTGAGATTGTGCTACTGCACTCCAGCCTGTGGAACAAAGAGAGACTCTACTCAAAAAAAAAAAGAAAACAAAAAAAACACACACACAAAAAAAACCCCAGATTTGGTGCACAGATGCTTCCCAATGGATCATTCATTTATTGGTACCCTTGTGCATTCATTCTCTGCCCTCGCATTTACCCATCTGCAATATCAGCGTCCCAAGAGCAGAGGCCAAATGCATCCTGTTTACCATTTGTGGAAGGCAGGAGAATGCTGCCCCACCCCCAAAATGTCCCTGTCTTAGCCTCCATAGCTTGTGAATATGTTATTTTACAGGAAAGGAGGAATGAAGATTGCAGATGGCATTACGGTTGCTAATCAGCTGAACTTAAAAAGAGGGTACGCTGGATGATTTTAGGGAGATTGAGATGGATTATCTTGGTGACCCCAATAGAATCCCAAAGTCCTTAAAAGATGAGGAAGAAGGCAGAGCAGGATTCAGAGAAAAAGGTGTGGGTAAAGAAGAAGAGTCTGAATGATGCCATGTGAGACGTGACCAGCCTTTGTGGGCTTTGAGGAAGGAGGAAGGAGGAAGGGGACCAGGGGCCCAGGAACGTGGGAGCCTCTAGGAGCTGGGAAACGTTAAGGAGCAGATTCTTGCTTGGAACCTTAAAAAGAAATCCAGCCTTACTCTCCCTTTGATATCAGCCCAGTGAAATGCAGTTCATACTTCTGAGTTACAGCACTGTGAGATAATTAAGAAAAACATGTTTTCATCCACGAAGCTTGTGGAAATTTGTTATGGCAACAATAGGAAAAGATTCCACACTGCACAGCCAGAGCATGGGGCATTGGCTGAACGAGTGAGTGAGTGGAAGTGTCGTGTGCATAAATAAGCTAAATTCTCTCTTACTGCACGTCTCTTGCTCTGCTGAGTCAACCAGGGTTGCATCTGGTACACTGCTGATACGAATGTAAATTAGTACAGCCATTACAGAGGAGAAGAGTATGGAAGTTCCTCAAAAAATAAAATGAGGTCGGGCACAGTGGTTCATGCCTGTAATCCCAGCACATTGGGAGGCCGAGGTGGGTAGGTCACTTGAGGTCAGGAGTTGAAGAGCAGCCTGGCCAATATAGCGAAACTCTGTCTCTACTAAAAATATAAAAATTAGCCGAGTGTGGTGGTGGGAGCCAGTAACCCAGCTACTTGGGAGGCTGAGGCTGGGGAATCTCTTGAATCCTGGAGGTGGAGGTTGCAGTGAGCCCAGATGGCACCACTGCACTCCAGCCTGGGCAACAAGAGTGAAACTGTCTAAAAAAAACAAAAACAAAAACAAAAACCATAAAACAAAATGTAAAAAGACACTTCCAGAGGATCTAGCAATTCCATGACTGGGTGTAAACCCAAAGGAAAGGACATCAGCGTATCGAAGTGACATCTGCACTCCCATGACTGTTCCAGCAGTGTTCACAGTAGCCAAGATGTGGATCAACCTACCTGCCCATCAGTGGGTGAATGGATGGAGAGAATGTGGTACACACACACAATAGGGACAACTCATCCATAGAAAGAGTAACATCCTGTCATTTACAGCCACATGAATGGAACTGGAGGTCATTACAAGTATTTCCATTTCTCACTCATATGCAGGAGCTAAAAGGTGGATCTCACAAAGGTAGAGAGTAGAATGGTGGCTACCAGAGGCCAGGAAGGGAAGGGTGGAGGGTAAAAAAAAAAGAATACTAATTAATTAATTAATTAATTTTGAGAGAGTGTCTCTCTCTGTTGCCCAGGCTGCAGTGCAGTGGCATGATCTCAGCTCACTGCAACCTCCGCCTCCTGCAATTAAGTGCAACTCCTGCCCAACCCTCCCAAGTAGCTGGGACTACAGGCATGTGCCACCATGCTCGGCTAATTATTATCATTATTATTATTATTTTGTATTTTTAGTACAGATGGATTTTCCCCATGTTGGCCAGGGTGGTCTTGAGCCCCTGATCTCAAATGATCCACCTGCCTTGGCCTCTCAAAGTGTTGGGATTACAACAGTGAGCCACCGTGCCCAGCCTATAAATGTATTTATGAACAGTAGACTTCACACTTAAAAATGGTAAAGGTGGTAAATTACATAGGTATATTTCACCTCAATAAATATTTCTTCAAACAAAAAGAAAAGGGTGTAGGCGTTGCTGGTGATGACATCTCTCTGTGGGTGACAGGCCAGGATGGGCTTCTGGGAAGTGGGTAAGGTTGAGGGGCTGAGAGAACCTCTGATCTCCCCAGGCAGAGCCCAGTCTCCCTCCTCTGGGTCTGTTCTGACCTCTTTCTCCATCTGCCTGGGTGCCTGGAACCCTGATCAAGGGCCTCCTTGCAGGCCATACAGGAGGGTTTGGAGGTGCCCTGTCTGCCATCCTGCCCCCTGACCCCGCCCTTACACCCATGCTGTGTGTTCTGTCTCGGCATCTGTCCATGCTTCTCTCCATCATCAGCAGGAAGCTCCTCAGCTATGGCTCTAGGATCACAAGACATGGGACAGGCATGGTGTTTTCTCACCTGTGACAGAAACGGGCAGTGGGTCACTCGGGTCTGACCACGCGTGGGGCAGGGCACGGAAAGAGCCGAAGCATCTGTAGTTCCCTCCGTGGGTCACAGGGCCCAGAGGGAAGTTGGCCTGGAATGTTCCATTGACCCTCAGCACCGCAGTGAGCCTAAGTTCACCGGCCTCTGCCTCCCTGGATAGATGGTAAATGTCAAACAAGCTCCGGGAGCTGCAGGACAAGGTCACATTCTCTCCTGCCTGAACCGTGGGGCCCGGCTGGGCTGAGAGAGAAGGTTTCCCATATAGACCTGGAAGGAGAAGAGGTGGTTTCCTCAGGGAGGTTCTTCGTTGTCACAGCTCTCCTCACACCTGAGCTGAGAACTCACTCCCCTGCTCTATGACTTAATGCTCTCTTTCTCTCTCTCACCCTCCACCCCCATCTCTCTTCATGTCTATTTCCTCCTTCCACCTTCTCTGTCTCTCTAGGTCTCTGACCTCACTTCTCCATCCCTAGCTATGTTTTCTTTTTTTGTACCATTTTATTCTCTCTGACCCTCCTTGGACTGGTTGACTTGATCTTCCTCTTTCTTTAATTCTGAGTCTCTCACTTTCTGTCTTGCTCATAACTTTCTGCATATTTCTATCTACTATCTATTGATCGATCTATCATTTATCTATGTATGTATCTATCATCTATCATCATCTGTGTATCTATGACCTATCTCTCTGTTATCTATCATCTATCAATCAATGTATGTATGTATGCATCTATCCATCTATCATCATGTGTTTATCTGTCTTTCTATCTCTCTATATCTATTTATATATCATCTGTCTGTCTTTCTACTTGTCTATCTATATCATCTATCAGTCATTCATCATCTATTTGTCTATCACCTGTCTCTCTATTATCTATCATCTACCTTTTATCTTTCATCTATCTGTATCTATCTATCCATCTATCATCTGTCTCTCTCCATCTCCTTGTCTTTCTCTGCCTCTCAGTCTCTCTAGTTCCCTTTTGGAGTCTCTGCAATCCATCCCCACATCTTTATCTTTCCCTGTCTTTGTGCCCCTCCCTCAGGGCTCTGATTTTAGGGCTTTTCTCTGCTTCCTTCCATCATACGCTCCACTTCTCTGCCCTCTTTTTCTATCTCTTTATGTGTCTGTGAGTCTCTCAATTCCCTTCTTCTGGCTCATTCTGTGTGTGTGTTCATGTCTTTGCTTTTTGATTTCCCTGATTTCACTCCGTGTCTCTCTGTGGGCTTTTGTTCTCAGTAATCCTATAACATGTGGTGCTATTTGAATATGAGCCTCAGAATCCAGTATGGGGACTCCAGGAACTCACAACATACAGGGGTTGGTGTTCTGCTCCCTCACCTGGGGCCATGGTGTCCTGCGACGACGACAGCTCCACTGCACGGAAGGCAGAGGTTTAAGAATAAACACAGCATCTGTAGGTGCCACCAGCCTGGGGCCACACGGCCCAACTCAGGCCAGATAGATGTGTCTCTTTGGGTTCTCCTGGGAGAGAACACTTTGTAGAGGTAAAACAGAATGGAACCTTCTAACCTGTGCCTGGTCTCTGAACAAAGTCAGCATAGAAGGACACCTCTCTCTGGGATATATCTGTCTCTCTGTGTCTTCTTTACCTCTTTATCTCTTTTTCTAACACCTTGTATGGCCCCTGTGTCTGGCTTCTATGTTATGACATGAGGTCTGTACTTGTGTCTCCTGTTTCTCTGCCTTTGTTGGTACAGACCTCACCAAGTCACTTTCTCTCCATAGGAACCCCACACTCATCTTCCTCATGACCACCTGGGGCTTCCAGTCCTAGATCATTCACTCCATCTCCCAGCAAGGGTGAGAGGCAGGTCTGTATTCTCTCACCTACGACCACGATGTCCAGAGGGTCACTGGGAGCCGACAACTCATAGGGTAAGTGAGTGACAGAACCAAAGCATCTGTAGGTCCCTGCAAGGGCAGGTGTCATGGGACCCATGGAATAGTTGACCTGGGAACCCGCATCGTGGAGCTGTCCAATGAGGCGCAAGGGGTCCTCAGTGATCCCCTCTCTGTGCAGAAGGAAGCGCTCAAACCTGACATCTGACCAACATTGCAGGATGACCGTCTCTCCCGATTTCACCAGGGGACCTGGGTGGGCCAGGAGGGAAGGTTTTCTGTGGACTCCTAAGAAGAGAGGTTGTGAGTTCAGAAGGCGTCTCCCTTTCTCATCCCATTCATGGGACCTGAAATAAGTGAGGCTTCCCCTCCATGGTGTCTATCTCTCTCCTTCCTCTCTGTGTCTCCGTGTTCTTTTGTGCCCATAACCCCTGTTGCAGGTCCCTCCATCTGTCTCCCTCCCTCTTCCCTGTCTCTCTGTCTCTAGTAGCCCTGATTCCCTTCCCACTGTGCTCAGTGTCACCTCTTATGCTGTTGTATCTGTTTCCCACTAATCTCTTTCCTGGTGTTTATGTGGGGGTGGAAGAGGAACCACGACAGGCTGCATGTCCAGGCTCTTAGCAGCCTGAATCAATCTCTTTTGGACAGATTGGAAAGGCTGGCAGGAGGTACGAACTCATCAGTAAGGCAGGCATCAGTGTCCCTGTTCCTGATGGGGATTGGGAGCCTCTCCTGTCATGTCTGTGCCTTCTCCATGGCCCCAGCTTCCATAGGGTGGCCCCTGGTGCTGGTTCCAGGAGCATCAACCCCTCCCTATGTGGATCGAGCCTGGTGGTAGCATCAGTATCCCACCCATGCTAAAATCAGTGTAGCCAAACTTCTCCTTGTTTGGTTTCTTAACCTGTGCTTCACCTGGGTTCCTGTGTTGGTTTCCTGTTGCTGCTGGAGAAAATTGTCACAAACATGGGGCAGGAGAGAATACAATGACCCCTTCCACTTCTGGAGAACAGAAATCGGACCCAGTTCTCTCTGGGCTAAAATCAAGGCATCTGCAGGGCTGTGTTTCCTCTGGAGACTCAGGGAAGAATCAGTTCCCTTGACTTCTCCAGCCCTTAGAGGCCACCTGCCTTTGTGGCTCATGGCCTTCCCCCATCTTCAAAGCCTGCTGTGGCTGATGGAGTCTCCCTCCCACGACGTTGCTCTAACCCCACTTTCCTCTTCCTCTTCCTCTCATGAGGACCCTTGTGATTACTCTGAGCACAGCAGGACAGTCCAGGCTGTCTCCCCATCGCAAGGTCAACTCATCAACAACCTGAGCTCCATCTTCCTCTTCAGTCCCCTGCCCTAAAACATAAATAGTCACAGGGTTCATGGATTACCATGTAGCCATCACTGGGGACAATTATTCTTCCCACCACAGCAACTATTTCTCTGTACTGAATCCCCCTTTACCCCAAATACAGTCGGGGCCTGGATGATTGGACCCTGATGGACGCCCCCACCAGAAGCTCTGGGATTCAGGAGGTGGGACAGTGAGAAGCCCAGACAGAAAGCCTCTGACCTGTGACCATGATCACCACAGGGTTGCTGGGTGCCGACCACCCAGTGGGGGAGTGTGGGTGTGAACTGCAACATCTGTAGGTCCCTGCATGTGCTGGGGTCACAGGGCCCATGAGAAAGCTGTTCCAGAATATTCTGTTGTAGAGCTCAGGGACAGGCATCCCGTCTTCTTTGGACAGACTGAATTCATTAAACCCAAGACGAGAGCGACACTGAAGAGTCACATGTTGTCCTTCAGACACCACAGTGCCGGGCCAGGCAGAGAGGAAGGGCTTGTCCTGACCACCTGGGGGAGAAGGAGGCACCACCTTAGAGAGGAGGATGTGGAGCCGCCCCTCCCTCCCTGTGCTCAGAAGATTCTCCCATTTCCATGTTTCTAAGGCTCCTACCACACCTGGGTGCCCAGGGCTACAGGAAGGACCCATCCCGCATAGACATGGCGTCTCCCTACAGCAAGTGTCAGCTGAGAACTTTGAGCAGGTGCTGAAGAAGCGACTCTTACTAGATTTTAACACTGCAAAATTACTTACATAAAAGAACACAAGGTAGACACAGGATGGAGGGCATGATCAGCTAATGCATGAACCATAATAAACAACTGAGCCCCTATTAGAAGATCTGGAATGTCAGGGTCATGACTGTGGTTCCCCCACCTCTTAGGTAGAATGACAGCAGCCACATTGCAGCCCCTACCGTCATGGAAACGCTGGAGGGTGTGAGTTATGCTCTTGTCCTCAGAGGCCTGTTGTTCCTTGCACTGCTTCTCTCCCTTCCTCTGCCGGTGACACCACTTCCTCCCTGCACACCACTCCTTTGAGCACTTCAGTCTCCCCCTGGGTCCCCACAGACTCAGCCAAGGGAAAGAAAGGCCGGGGAGGGCTAGGACAGAACTGTGGCGAAGCTTCCCCTGGCTTCCTTTTCCTAGTTCATGAGAGATTCCCACATGGCTTCCCATGGTCAGCCCATCAGTCAACCCCCTGTGTCGCCTGCCTCCCGTTTCAGGAGCATCATCTTATGTGGGGAGATGACAACCTAAGGTTTGGGGGAAGGACTCACCCACATGTGGCCAGGGCCCCTCCAGCAAGAAGAACCCTGGAAAGAAAGATCATGATGGATGATCCATCTGTACATCACCTCCAGGCCCATATCTCCACTCCAGGCCCATATCTCCACCTCTAGGCCCATATCTCCACTCCAGGCCTATATCTCCACCTCCGTCCTATATCTCTACTCCAGGCCCATATCTCCACTCCAGGCCTATATCTCCACCTCCGTCCTATATCTCTACTCCAGGCCCATATCTACACTCCAGGCCCATATCTCCACCTCCAGGCCTGTATCTCCACCTCCAGGCCCGTGTCTCCATTCCAGGCCCATATCTGCACTCCAAGCCAACATCTCCACTCCAGGCCCGTATCTCTACTCCAGGCCCATATCTACAGTTCCAGGCCCATATCTCCACCTCCAGGCCCATATCTCCACTCTAGGCCCATATCTCCACCTCCAGGCCCGTATCTCAATTCCAGGTCCATATCTGCACTCCAAGCCAATATCTCCACTCCAGGCCCATATCTACAGTTCCAGGCCCATATCTCTACTCCAGGCCCATATCTCTACTTCAGGCCCATATCTACAGTTCCAGGCCCATATCTCCACTCCAGGCCCATATCTCCACCCCAGGCCCATATCTCCACTCCAGGCCTATATCTCCACTCCAGGCCCATATCTCCACTCCAGGCCCAGATCTCCACTCCAGGCCCAGATCTCCACCCCAGCGCTCCCTCCCTCGATTCCCTTCCAGGACTCACCAACACACGCCATGCTGACGACCATGAGCGACATGGTGCTGCCGGTGCAGACAGGCGGCTGCGCCCCAGCTCAGTTCAGCAGCACACAGGATGTTGTGAGGGGCTCATGCAGTTTACATGCTGACCACATCATGGGAGGATGACGTATGCAGGCTATTTCTACCTTGCATGAGGCCCAGTGGCTGTTTGGTCAAGAGCGGAACATGGCTTCCTGGAAATTGTTCCAACTAGAATTGACACCTTGCATCCTTCACTATAACCAACTCAAAACACGTCTCAGATCCAATCTCTCATACAGGAGATGACTGAATGCTTGGCTTACATTAAAGACTTTTGATGTATTTTTGTTGTTTTTATCTGAGATTCAAACTCTTCTTCATGTGCTATTTTCCCCAGGCTGTTCTTTGACTTCAGAGTTCAAGCAATCCTCCTGCCCCAGCATTTCTAGCAGCTGGCAGTATGTCACAATCTGCCACACCCAAGTCACAACTTTTAGAACTTTTTTTTTTTTTGAGACGCAATCTCACTTCGTCACCCAGTTTGGAATGCAGTGGTGAGACCTCGGCTCATTGCAGCCTCCACCTCCCAGGTTCACGCAATTCTCGTGCCTCAGCCTCCTAAGTAGCTGGATTTACAGGCACCCACCATCACGCCCACCTAATTTTTGTACTTTTAGTAGAGAGGAGGTTTCTCCATGTTGGCCAGGCTGGTCTTGAACTCCTAACCTCAAGTGATCTGTCTACTTCAGCCTCCCAAAGTGCTGAGATTACAGGTGTGAGCCACCATGCCTGGCCGGGACATTCTATATGTGTGCGTATGTGTGCATTTATATACATATGGTTATACACACACACACACACACACACACCCTAAGCACTCACATATATAGTTGTTTCAAATTTTAAAAAATATAAATTTTGTATTTTTCTTTCTTTTTCTCACATTTGTGTTTCTATGACACCATATACATATTGAATTTTATAGCTCTATTTTATTCTTTTGGATTGCAGTTTAATAGTCCATACATAACTTTATCAACATGTAATTATCCACTCTTTTTATCATGGACATTTGTGTTGTTTCCGGATTTTCTCTTTTATAACTCGGGCCTTGATAATCGTGTTTCTGTGTGATCCCTTGCATACATATGCTGAATTAATTAGACATATTTACCTAGGAATGAAATTATTGGTTTTGGGTGCAAGTTGGTGTTGAGCTTAACCAGGAAGTGCCAAAATATTTCCATCATGACCAAATGTGGCCTGGAAAGTTTTTTGGGGTCAATTTTCCTGTTTCTTCTAAGGAACAAAATTGATGTCACTGATTTTTCTGTCCTGTTTGTCATTTATGAATATACGTACATATGCACGTATATATTTGCTTGCCATTTTATGTTTTTCCTCGACGTTACTTTGGAATTAATTTGCTGATGTGTAGTATTTCTGCAAGCGAAAGTTACCTATTTACTCAGCTCTTCCTTCTTTTCTAACACAGACATTTGAGGCTTATTTTCCTTTAACACTGTTCTATCTGTATCCCCAGTCATTTGCCGAGATGTGTTTTCATTTTTAATTGATACAAAATATTTTCCACCTTTCTTTGAAATGTTTTTCTTCCACTCATTGTTTATTGCTATGTGTGTTTATTAATTTTAAAATATTTGATAATTTCCCCAGCATTTCCTTGTTGTACATTTATAATTTAATTCAACTGTTTCATCTATCATATTACCTATGATTCAGCATTTAAAAATTTATTTTGGTGAATGTTCCAGGGGTGCTAGACAAGTTTGTGGATTAGGAAGATTTGAGGTGGATGTTTTCTAAATGTCAGTTAAGAAAAAAATCATTCAAATGTTTTTCTTTATTTAAAAAAAATAGAGACGGGGTCTCACTATGGTGCCCAGGCTGGTCTCAAACTCCTGGCCTCAAGTGATCCTCCCATTTTGGCCTCCCAAAGTGCTAGGATTATTGAAATTATTAAATGTTTCATATCAACACCCAACCTTATGCACCTGCCGCCTACACAAATGTTTTTCAAGTCTTTCATATGCTTAATAATTTTCTGTGTACTTGTTCTGGAAGTGAGGTGAATGTTGCTATCTCTAGCTGCAATTTGGATGTGATTGATTATGTTTTGAATTATGCCTTTAATTTAATGTGTTTTGAGGTTCCAGCTTTAGGTGTGTAGGCATTTAGGATTATTATGTCTTATTTATGAATTTGCCTCTTTGTCATTATGAAGTACTCCTCTTCATATCTCCATATATCTCTTCTTTGTATGTGCATGTTGAAATATTTCATTCTTTGAGTTAAGAAACTTCTATTGAGGAATACTTTTTATTACAAACATTTACCTATTCTATGTATACAACTGACTAGAAGCATATTTTGCACTGGGCATTATCATGACAATGTAATGTCATTCTTTCAATATTTACATCTTGTGGATTAGTATTTGAAGTGCAGCTTATGTAGACAGCATAAGGTTGGGTGTTGATATGAAACATTTAATAATTGCACACGTATTTGCCTCTTGGGATACTTCCACTTTTTTGAATTTCAAGTTACTAAATGGTATCATTAATCTTTGCTTCAAGAGCTTAACATTTATTGTAGAACAATGCTTCATGTAATAAATTGTGAGACATTTTTAATGGCACCTTTATTGCAGGAAAATGTTTTCCTTTTCAGGTTGAAAGATTCTAGTTTGAAATATTTTCTTGTAGCACTTTAAAAATGTTGGTCCACCTATTTCTTACTTTCATAGTTTTGAATACAAAGTTTGCTGTCATTCTTGTATTTCTTCTTCTGTTTTTTATTTATTTATTTTTGACAGAATATCTTGCCGTCTCACCCAGGCTGGAGTGCAGTGGCATGATCTTGGCTCACTGCAACCTCTGCCTTCCAGGTTTCAGCAATTCCTGCCTCAGCCTCCTGAGTAGCTGGGACTACAGGCATGCGCCACCATACCCAGCCAATTTTTTTTTTTGTATTTTTTTTTGTAGAGATGAAGTTTTGCCATATTGGCCAGAACTCCTGACCTCAAATGATCCACCTGCTTTGGCCTCCCAAAGTGCTGGGATTACAGGTGTGAGCCACTGTGCTCAGGCTATTTATTCCTTTTTATATAATATGAATTCACATTCATACATACCAGGGGTTAGGATTTCAACAAACGTTTCTGGGGGAGACCACTCAAAACACAGCACTCATCCTTGGTTATTTCCAGCCATGGAGCCTGTATCAATATCCTGGTGAATTATCTAAGCTGTCCACCTACCTACCCCAAATCCTCATGGTCACATAAAAGGCTAGTATAGTATAATAATTTTTCTTTCCCTGCTTATCTACAGTGATGAAGAAACAAATATTCAAAGGGAAAAATCTTAGCTTTAGGTATAGGGTAATTCTTCTTCCTATTTTTAAATAACTTCAACCTTTACTGTAGATTAAAGGTACGCATGCAGGTTTGTTACATAGGCATATTGTGTGACTCTGAGGTTTGTGGTTCCAACAATGCCATCACCCAGGCAATGAGCATAGAATCCAACAGGTGTTTCTTCAGCCTATACCTCCCTACTCCTCCCCCCATCTGTAGTCCTCGGTATCTGTTGTTTCCATCTTTATGTTTATGTGTATTCAATGTTTGGCTCTCAGTTATAAGTGATAACATGTGGTATTTGGTTTTCTGTTCCTGGGTTAGTTCACTTAGGAGATTGACCTCCTGCTACATTCATGTTGCTGCAAAGGACATGATTTCATTATTTTTTATGGCCATGTAATGTTCCATGTGTATATGTAGCACATTTTCTTTAACTAATCCACTGTTGGTGAGCACTTAGGTTGACTGCAAATCTTTGCTATTCTGAATTGCACAGCAATGAATATACTAGTGCATGTGTCTTTTTGACATAGTTAATTACCTTCCTTTTGGTATATACCCAGTAGTGGGATTGCTTGATTGAATAGTAGTTCTATTTTAAGTTATTTGAGAAGTCTCCAAACTGCTTATCACATTGGCTGAACTAGTTAACATTCCCACCAAGAGTGTATAAGTGTTCCCTTTTCTCCACAATCTTGTCAGCAGCTGTTATTAAAAAAAACAGAAAACTTTTTAGTAATTGCTTCTGCCTCTCTGATTGTTGTGAGATGGTATCTCACTGTGGTTTTAATTTGCATTTCTCTGATGATTACTGATAATAAGCATTTGTTCATATGTTTTTTGGCCATGTGTACATCTTCTTTTGAGAAGTGTCTGTTCATGTCATTCTTAATTGAGGTTTTTTGGTTTTCTGCTTGTTGATTTGTTTACATTCCTTATAGATTCTGGATATTAGAACTTTGTCAGATGCATAGTTTGCAAATATTTTCTCCCAGTCTGTAGGTTATCTGTTTACTCTGTTGATACTTTCGTTTGCTGTGCAGAAGCTCTTCAGTTGAGTTAGGTCCCAATTTCTGTCTTTGTCACAATTGGTTTTGGGGAGTTAGCCATAAATTCTTTGCCAAAGTCTATCTTGAGAAGGATATTTCCTCGGTTTTCCTCTAGAATTTTAATATTTTGAGGTTTTACATTTAAATCTTTAAACTATCTTGGGTTAATTTTTGTATATAGTGAGAGTTAGGGGTCCAGTTCTATTATTTTGCATATGAGTAGTCAGTTATCCCAGAACTATTTATTGAAGAAAGGGTACTTTCCACATTGCTTGTTTTTGTCAATTTTGTCAAAGATGATTGTAGGTATGTAGCCTCATTTCTGGGTTCTCTATTCTGTCTCATTGGTCTATGTGTCTGTTTTTGTAGTAGTATCATGCTGTTTGGGTTACTATAGCATTGTAGTATAGTTTGAAGTTGGGTAATGTGATGCCTGGGCTTTGTTCTTTGTGCTTAGGATTCCTATGTGTATTCAGGCTCTTTTTTGGTGCCAAATACATTTTAGAATAAATTTTTATAATTTCGTGAAAAATGACATTGCATTTTGAAATGGATAGCATTGAGTCTGCAATTTGTTTTTGGAAGTATGGCGATTTTAACTATTTGTTCTCCTAATTCATGAGCATGGAATATTCTTCCATTTGTTTGTATCATTTCTTATTTCTTTCAGAAGTGTTTTGTAGTTCTCTTTGTAGAGAATTTTCACCTTCTTGGTTAGATGGATTCCTAGGTATTTTATTTTCTTTGTGGCTAGTGTAAATGGGATTGTGTTCTTGATTTAGTTCTCAGCTAGAATGTTAGTGGTGCATAGAAATGTTACTAATTTGTGTACATTTTTTTAATCCTGAAACTTTATTGAATTTGTTTATCAGTTTCAGGAGCCTTCTGACAGAGTCTTTAGGGTTTTCTATGTATAAAATTATTTCATCAGCAAAGAGAGACAGTATCACTACTTCTTTTCCAATTTTAATGCCTTTTATTTCCTTCTCTTGCCTGATTGCTTTGGCTAGGACTTCCAGTACCATGTTGAATTAAAACGGCGGGAGTGGTCATCCTGGTCTTGTTTCAGTTCTCAAGGGGTATGGTTCCAGCTTTTGCCCATCAATATGATGTTGGCTGTGGGTTTGTCATAGATGGCTCTTAATATTTTGAGGTATGTTCCTTTGATGCCTATTGACAGTTTTTATCATGAAGGGATGTTGGATTTTACAGAAAGCTTTTTCTGCATCTATTGAGATGATCATATAGTTTTTGTTTTTAATTATGTTTATGAGGTGAATCACATTCGTTGACTTTGTAGGTTGAACCAACCTTGCATCCCAAAAATAAAGCTTACTTGATCATGTGAATTAACTTTTGATGCACTGACAGATTCAATTTGCTAGCATTTTGTTGAGGATTTTTGTGTCTATGTTCATTAAGGATATTTAGTTGTAGTTTTCTTTTTTTCATTATGTCTCTGACAGATGTTGGTATCATGGTGATGATGGCTTCATAGAATGAGTTAGGAAGAAGCCCCCACTCCTTGATTTTTTCCAAAAGTTTCAGTAGGATCGGTATCAGTTCTTCTTTGTATGGCTGTTGGATTTCGGTTGTGAATCCATCTGGTCCTGGGCTATTTTTAGTTAGTAGGGTTTTTATTACTGATTAAATTTCTGAACTTGTTATTGGTCTGTTCAGGTTTTCACTTTCTTCCTGGTTGAAATATGATAAATTTTGTGTTACCAGGAATTTATCCATTTCTTCTAGGTTTTCTAGCTTGTTTGTATAGAGGTGTTCATAATAGTCTTTGACAATCTTTTCTATTTCTGTGGGATTGTTCGTAACATTGTTTTGTCAGTTCTATTTGTGCTTATTTGGATCTTTTCTCTTTTTCTTTGTTAATCTAGCTAACAGTCTATGAATTTTGTTTATTTTTTTTTTCAAAGAAAAACTCTTGGTTTTATTTATCTCTTGTATGGACTTTTTGGTCTCAATTTATTCAGTTCTCTCTGACTTTAGTTATTTCTCATCTTTTGCTGGCCTTGGGTTTGGACTGTTCCTTTTTTTTAATAGTTCCTCTAGATGCAGTGTTAAGTCACTAATTTGAGATCTTTCTAAACTTCTGATGAGGCATGTATTGCTATAAATTTTCCTCTTATCACTGCTTTAACTGCATCCCAAAGGTTTTGGTAAGTTTGTTTCTATTTTTATTAATTTTAAATAATGTTTTGTGATTTCTGCTTTAATTTCATTGTTCACCCAAGAGTTCTCAAGGGGTACAGTTCCAGCTTTTGACCATTCAATATGATGTTGGCTGTGGATTTGTCATAGATGGCTCTTAATATTCATTCCGAAACAAGTTGTTAAATTTCCATGTTTTTCTGTAGTTTTGAGAGATCATCTTGGTATTTTTTTCTATTTTTATTGTGTGCCTTGTTATGATTTTGATTCTTTGAATTTATTGAGACTTGCTTTGTGGCCAGTCTTAGAATATGATATGTTTTTTGTGTGTGCAGATAAGAAGAATCTATATTCTGCAGTTGTTGGGTGGAGTACTCTGTAGATGTCTATGAGGTCCAATTGGTCAAGTGTTGTCTTTAAGACCAGAATTTCTTTGTTAGTTTTCTGTTTTAGTGATTCATCTGACGTTGTTAGTGGGATACTGAAGTTCCTTACTATTATTGTGTGGCTGTCTAACTCTTTTCATAGGTGAAGAATAACTTGTTTTATGAATCGGGGTGCTCCAAATTTGGGTGCATATATATTTAGAATAGTTAAGTCTTCTGTCAAATTGAACCCTTTATCATTTTGTAATGCCCTTCTTTGTCCTTCCTGATTGCTGTTGATTTAAAGTGTGTTTCATGTGATATAAGAATAGGAATGCCTTCCTTTTTTTTGTTTCCTGGTTGCCTAGTAAATATTTCTTCATCCTTTTACATTGAGCCTGTGGGTGTCATTACATGTGAGATGAGTCTTTTGAAGACAGCAGGCAGTTGGCTCTTGGCTTTTTATCCACGTTGCCACTCTATGCCTTTTATGTGGGGAATTTAGGCCATTTACATTTCTTCTCCTGATATATCCTTTTTATATTTTTATGATTGCCTTTTAAAATATATTGAATGGTTGTAATTCCAGGGAAATGTCTTTCAGAACAGTATTTATTCCTATCTGCATGTTTTGGAGAGTGCACTAGGGGACATTGAAGTTTATTTCCTGAAAAGAGTTTAATTTTAAAATGTATTTTATTTAATAACTCAATGATTCAGGGAATGTCTAGGTATTTCAGAGATTGTTTTAGACAGTTTGTTTTCTTGTGATATGTGACCACTTCATCTAAGCTGAATAATGTCTTCATAATGTCCACTTAGAATCTTTTGAATTCTGTAGGATCTGTACTGATGTCATTGTTTCCTTTCTGATATTGGTAATTTTCCTGGGGTAGGATTCTTAGCTCCTCCTGAGGTCCTGCCTCTAAAATTCAGGGAACAATGAGTCGGATTAGTACTCTGATTTCAAAGGGAAAGCTGATCATCTACCATTTTTTGTTTATGTAAATGGACACATTAACATCCCTTGTCTGAACCTTAGTTACCTTGTTTGGAGCATTTTGCTATAAATCTCACTTCTCAGAGTGGTTGTGGGGCTTGATGTGGCTGGGGTATGGGATGGCTTAAACATAATTTATTTCCAGACCAGGTTAAGGCATGAAGGGGTTGGGACTTGTTAGAATCCTGTTGTCGGACTCCACAGTAAGGGTAGACATTTGAGGCACCCAATCAAAAACCTCAGTTGTTCCTAGCACTGAGAAATTTGATAGAATGTTTCTAAAACATTATTCATGGTCTAATGCACAAAAAGTAAAGTGATAGCCCTGGAAGTAGACAGGGAACCATAAGAAAAAAGAGAGAGCAAAGCTCAATGGTCACCAGTGCCTGGGACCATCAAGGGGTTATTAAGGAGGAAGTTTCCACCTCTGTGGGGAACAGAAGAGGCTCCCTAGGGTCCACACACACAGGGAGTGAGCCAAGACTCTGGGCGAGGCTGGAAGCTCTGGGTCTCCTTCTGTGAGATTTTCTTTTTTTTTTTTGAGATGGAGTCTTGCTCTGCCACCCAGGCTAGAGTGCAACGGCGCGATCTCGGCTCATGGCAACCTCTGCATAAAGTGGTATGTATTTAAGGCATGCATTAGACAAATTACTAAGTATTTACTAGATAAGAAAAAATTATATCTGAATCTTTTCAAATTGCCGTCTTATGCATTATATTCTCTTTTTATAGTGCAATTTCTTAATAGTTAATGCCAGAAGATTTTTTTTTCTTCCTTTCTTTCTTTCTTTTTTTTTTTTTTTGAGACAGAGTCTCACTCTGTTGCCAGGCTGGAGTGCAGTGGCACGATCTCGGCTCACTGCAACCTCCGTCTCTCGGGTTCACGCCATTCTCCCGCCTCAGCCTCCTGAGAAGCTGGGACTACAGGCACCCTCTACCATGCCCAGCTAATTTTTTTTTTTTTTGTATTTTTAGTAGAGACGGGGTTTCACCATGTTCGCCAGGATGATCTCTGTCTCTTGAACTCGTGATCCACCTGCCTTGGCTTCCCAAAGTGCTGGGATTACAGGCATGAGCCACTGCACCTGGTCGCCAAAAGATATTTTTAAAAACCTAAATGCCACTTGAAATGAATAAGACCCTCAATAATTCATGGGATATACATGTGAACTTATGACATATGATGAAATAAGCAGGTTACAAAATTGTAATATATCAAGCAAGGTAGAAAGCCATGGCAGAAAAAGAGACAAGCATTTTCAAGATAAGGAATGAAAGAGGGGAAACAGTACTATTGATTTTACAGATTTTACAAAGATATCTTAGGTGTGTTTTCCTAAATAATAAATGTACCCTCCTTTTGACCTTTATGTAATGAAATAACCATGCACACATTTTCAAATAATACTTCATTTACTTGACTTTATGCTTGAAAATTGAAGTATGGTGCTGTTTGTTATTTTCATTTATGCATTTTACTACCTTGTAATATTCCACTGAGTCTATTTACCACACTATGTTTATTTTTTTCGTAGGTGGACTTTGGTATTTTATAGCTTTGGCTAATAGGAACAGCATTCCTATAACAGTTGTGAGTGTATCATGACACATAAGTAGACATTTATCTCTAGGGTACATAATTAAGTACATAATTAAGAAGGGTCACAGCCATGTGCCTCCTCTTTTTAACTAGATAATTCCAATACACTTCCTTAATTGATTAAAGCAATTTGTACTCTTACTATTAATGTACTAAAATTCTACATGTTCAATATTCTTTCCAAAAAATGATTTTGCTACTTTTTTCTTTTCTTGAGACTGAGTCTTGCTCTATCACCCAGGCTGTAGTGATCTCGGCTCACTGCAACCTCCGCCTCCTGGGTTCATGCGATTCTCGTGCCTTGGCCTCCCAAGTAGCTGGGATTACAGGCAGGCGCCACCATGTCTGGCTAATTTTTGTATTTTTAGTAGAGACAGCGTTTCACCATGTTGGCCAGGCTGGTCTCGAACTCCTGACCTCAGGTGATCCTCCTGCCTCGGCCTCCCAAAGTGTTGGGATTACAGGCATGAGCCACCACACCCGGCCTATTTTTTTCTTTTCCCTCCATTGTGCTATGATTTTTGACATTACAATTTTACTGAAACTACACCATAAGAATGAAGCAGAAATTATTATAACCTTTAAATAAACTTTACAACTGGTTCATACTCGTGTGAACGACAATTCTTTTGACTACTTCCCAACTGTGCATTCAATGGCGTCATATGGGCACCCTGAAGTTGGCCATAAAGGACGTATTTATACCACACTAATCAGCAAATACCATAAATCTGGGGCTTTATATGTTCAGAGTTTTCTTAAGAAAATAATTTTTTCAGAGAGCCAGTTTAACAGAATACCATGAGGCTGAGCCTTCGAGCGTTAGTGTGCTCATTCTGAGAGATGATATTTCTGGACAAAGTACACAGGTATCATCCGATGAAGAGTGAAGGGAATTCAGGGTCCAGAGAGGGTGCTAGGGCATCATTTCAGACTCATATTTCCCTTTTTTTTTTTTTTTTTGGAGATGGAGTCTTGCTCTGTTGCCCAGGCTGGAGTGCAGTGGCAAGATCTTGGCTCACTGCAACCTCCGCCTCCCGGGTTCAAGCTATTCTCCCGCCTCAGCTTCCTGAGCAGCTGGGATTACAGGTGCTCACTGCCACACCCAGCTAATTTTTGTATCTTTTAGTAGAGACAGGGTTTCACCATGTTGGCCAGGTTGGTCTCGAACTTCTGACCTCAAGTGATCCGCCCACCTCAGCCTCCCAAAGTGCTGGGATTACAGGTGTGAGCCACTGTGCCTGGCCTCAGACTCATGTTTCAAAGTCCCAAATACAAATCTGCCCACCTATTCCAGTTATTTAATCCAGATCTATGCTCAGAACTGAAAAGATGGAGAATCAATAGTTCACTTTAGAGAATGCGGTAGTTGGAAACAAAGACAAATGTATTACAGGACAGTGGACCAGAGCACGTGATCGCAGGGGTGTGGATGCAAACCCACCATGGGGGACGTGCCTTCACATCACAGAGAGCGAAAGGAAGGGAGGGGCAGACACGGAGGATCCACAACAGCTGGACTGAAAGCACTGCCATTTAATGGAAGTTTAATGGAGGAAGCGTTCTCTACAGGCACCCAGACATCTCCCTGAACCTGACCCAAGCCTCCCCTTCTCGACTTTCTCAGTAGACGGTTTCCCGAATGATGGTCCAGACTTTCTTCCAGAACCTCCTAGGACTATCAGACTCATTGCCAAGGCTCTGGCACTCTGAAGGGTGCATTGTTCTCTCATGTATTTACCTCCTTGCTGCATCTTGGGGACTTCTCTAGCTGTGCCAATCCTAAAGCAGCAGAATCCCGAGGACCACCAGGACCAAGCCAGCCACAGCCACGCGGATGAGATTCTCCACTGTGTAATCCTGGGGGTGTGAGGCTGGGGATGGTGGACCAAGAGGTCTCAGAGGTCAGGGCAGATCAACATCACCCTGGACCCCTGGATGTCCACCCAGGGCACCCACCTCCCCTTCACAGGACCTGACCCTCTGTGCCAGCCCCATAACCGAGAGCATCTCCTTACACACCAGTCTTGGAGTCTGTCTTGTTTTGCGATGGGCTGAGGGTCTCAGCTGCTCCTGAGAATCAACCAAAAAAGGGGGAGGTGTGTGAGGAGTTGAAGAGACTTAAGCCAACATGTCCCTCAGTTGCTGCATTCCTTTGTGTCTACACTTCTCCTAACTGCTCTGTAGTTGTGTGATAGAACCTTTCCCTGCCGTGGCAGAGGTACATTCGCATACATACATACATATATGCATAGGTGTAAATATGTGTGTATACATAATATGTGTTATGCATATGTGTATACATAATATGTATTATGCATATGTGTATAGATAATATGTATTATGCATATGTGTATGCATATGTATAAGATATAGTGTGAGTATATATAAATATATAATATATAAGATATATAATAGTGTGTGTATACATATAAATATATAATAAGATATGTAATAGTGTGTGCATATATAAATATATAATATATAATAAGATATATAATAGTGTGTATATATAAATATATAATACATAATATATTATAAGATATATAATAGTATGTATATATAAATATATAATACATAATATATAAGATATATAATAGTGTGTGTATATATAAATATATAATACATTATATATTATAAGATATATAATAGTATATATAAATATATAATACATAATATATAATAAGATATATAATAGTGTGTGTATATATAAATATATAATACATTATATGTTATAAGATATAATAATGTGTGGGTATATATAAATATATAATACATAATATATAAGATATATAATAGTGTATATATAAATATATAATACATAATATATATTATAAGATATAATAATGTGTGGGTATATATAAATATATAATACATAATATATAAGATATATAATAGTGTATATATAAATATATAATACATAATATATATTATAAGATATAATAATGTGTGGGTATATATAAATATATAATACATAATATATAAGATATATAATAGTGTATATATAAATATATAATACATAATATATATTATAAGATATATAATAGTGTGTGAGTATATATAAACACATACATATATATTTGAAGTGAGAAGAGTATTATATAATTTAGAAACAAACAAGTTTGTCCTCCATTTTCTTGTGGTTAATGTAATTATTATCAATAAATCAGAAGAGATCATTTCGGAAAGGATTGAAAGGGAGTGTGTCTGTGGTAAGTTAATAGGAACTAAAATTAGCATACCCAAACCAATAGCTTTCTCATCCATACGTAACTAATTTTAGAAAATAGAAAGGAATCAAAGACTTTCAAATTATTCAAGTAGTAAAACAATGCTTAAAATTCACAATGTCCACAATTTTTATGAATACAACTTCAAGCATCTGCTAACTGTATAAAGTTTAATTTTAAATGTATTGGATACAAAGACATTATTAATGAGAAGTTATTCTCCATCATGAATGCACATATTTAATTTAATCCCAAAGAAAATCAGAGCACAGTTATTTTACATCATAACGCTACCTAACAAATTAAATGTGTAAATTATAAATGCCAGCATTGCTTTGAAATCTTCAGAAACAGAAAGAGAAACTAGATATGTGGACATAAAAAATAAAGGACAGAAAGGAATTGCACACGAGGTTTGCTGTTGAATAATTTGCCTGCATTGCTGCAGTGAGCAGGTGCATGATCTCCCCTTCGTCTCAGGTATGCACTGAGTATTTTGGGGCCGCCAGGGGAGCCCAGGTGGGGAGTGGGTGGGGCCTCCATCTTCTACCCTCAGCCTAAGCATGATTCCTCCAAGGTTTCTCCATATCTCATTTCAGCCCTCCCTGGCCTTTAGCCCCATCTGAGGTCTCTGGGGTGGGAGCCCAGGATTAGGAGGTCCCTGACTATTTCCACCCTCTCATGGGCTGGGCCCTCCCCTGCCGACCCTCCCCCTTTACTCCCCTCTTTCCTTAGCGTCCTGAGCTCTCCTGGGGGCAGGGCCTGAGCTGAGGTTTGAGCTCAGAGAGGACAGGGTCAGCGGCCTCACCTGAGACCACGAGCTCCAGGGGGTCACTGGGGTGAGACAGCAGGTAGGGGAAGAATCTGCGTGAGCTGTAGCACCTGTAGGTCCCCGCGTGGGCTGAGGTCACAGGACTCATGGGGAATTCAGCCTGGTGCTGCTGAGCTTGGTGCTCTGATCTCAGACGCAGTGGGTGATGGGCTGCCCCCTCCTTGGTCAGAAGGAAAGTGTCCAACTGCTCCCGTGACTGACACAGCAGGGTCACGTTCTCTCCTGAGGCCACCGTGGGGCCCGGCTGCACCGAGAGGGAGGGTCTGCCACGGATCTGTCCTGGAGAGAAGAAGGATGGGTGAGGGGCTGCCCCACCTCGTTCTGAGCTGACACCTCCCCAGGCCTCTCTCTGGGACCCTCAGTCTCTGTCTCTGTTTTCTCTGAGTCTCCCTCTACCCGCCCATCCCCTGTCTCTGTCTGTCTCTCCCTCCCTTGGGACCCCCACCCCTCATCCTGGCCATCACCACCTGGGCTCCCCCAGCAGGGCCTGTGCGGAGCGTGGGTCCCTGACTGAACCTGCTGGGCTCCTCACCTGCGATCAGGATGCTCAGGGGGTCACTGGGGGCCGACCACTCGGAGGAGAGGTTGTGTGCACCGTAGCATCTGTACTGGCCCCCGTGGGAGACCCTCACAGGGCCCAGGGTGAAGTTGGCCTGGGAGAGCCCAGCCTGGGGCTGCCGGCCAGAGCCCTGGACGAGGTCATGTCCCCCCTCCTTGTACAGAGTGAATTTGTCATAGCCGACATCAGAGCCACACTGGAGGGTCAGATTCTCCCCAGGGGCCACGACAGGGCCCTGCAGGGTCAGGAGGGAGGGCTTCCTAGACACGCCTGGAGGGAAAGAAGAGTCGGGACTAGGAGGGCTGGTTCCTCCCACACCCCTTCCTTCTCCCCTCCTGGCCCTGCAGGTCTCACTGTCTCTCATACTCAGTGTCTCTGGGCTCAGGAGTCCCAAACTTCCCTTGTTCCACCCTCCTACATGGGGCTCCGTGAGAGTAAGTTCTCAAAAATAAATAGGGCAAGGAGGAAGACATCCATACCTAAGACCAGGATCTCCATGGTATCACTGGGTTCCGACCACACCCAGGGGAAGTTCGTGTAATGCCCATAGCATCTGAACATCCACCGGTGACTGGCAGCCACACGGCCCACAGGGAACAGGGCCAGGGACAAGGGACAGCCCCTTGGAGAGTTCCTGTGAGTCCAGCATCCAGGAGAGCTTGTTTTCTCCTTCCTCAATCAAAATGAACCTGTGAAATCCCACCCTTGAGCTACACTGGATGGGTCACGTTCTCTCCTGAGGTCACCACAGGGCTCGGCAGGGCTGAGAGAGTGGGTTTTCTGTGGGCTCCTAGGAGAGAAGGAGACACTGTCTTAAATGGGGCTCACGCGTCCCACATCATCCCCCAGGGCTGAGTTATTAGAACGGAGATGCCCTTGAGAGCCGACCCCCTTCCTGCAGGCAGAGCCTGGGGCTGGGACCCCTGAGTGTCCTCTTACCTGTCACCACCAGCTCCAGGGGCTCGCTGCGCTCTGACCAGCCTGCAGGGCTGAGATAGTGACAGTGGTATCTCCCTGCATGGTGCTCTCTCATGGATGGGATGAAGAAGTTGGTCTTGTTCCTGGGCTCTGGTGGGCTCTGTTGGTACCAGGTCATGGGGTTTCCTTCCTTGGTGAGATAGTAACCCTGGGTATCCAGGGTCCCCTGGCACCAGAGGGTCATGGGGCTCTCCCAGGTAATCACAGAGCCTGGCTCAGCCCAGAGGCTGGGTTTGGGGAGGGTCCCTGGAAGAAACCACAGGCTGGGGTCCACAGACCTCCCCCGCTCCTCATTCCCAGCTCAGGTCACAGACCCTCTTGATTTTCTCACCCTCAGTTCAGAAGCCCCTGAGATGAGAGTCCAGGTGCTGAGTGTGAGGTCAGGCATGGGAGGTTAGCAGAGACTCACCTGCAAGTGCTTGGGCTTTCTGGCCCAGACTCAGCCATGGAGAAGAGTTTCCTGTGGGGGATTTGGAACACAGAGGTGTGGCTGCTTCCCTTCCTGTTGGAGCACCAGTAGCCACTGGAGCCCTGAGGCTCTCTGGTGAACAAGGCTGCTGTGGGACCCTCCCCACCTCAGCCCAGTGCCCCTCCTGTCCCTCGTCTCTCCACCACTGACTGAGGCACAGAAGAACAGTGAGGATGGACACCATGATGCCTGCTCTGCGTGCTCCAGCTGTGGGACAGGTGACCACATGGCCCTCCATGACAGACAGATGCACGGATGTGGTTAAGTCAGAGCCTGCTGCCGCCTGCCTGGGTCCCCACAGCTGTGAACCCACAGGAAGTGGACAGCCCCTTGCTGGGCCTGTCTCTTATTCCCCCCCCAGTGCAGGGGCTCAGGAGGACCCAGGCCCTCTGCACACATCTCAGCCCAGACCTGAGGTGTCCCCTGATTGCCAGGGATCCTTTGTCTGAAAACCTGCCCGTGGAGGGTGGACCCAACATCATATCTATGTCAGCTCCCAACTTAGCTGGGTCTAAACTGAAAACACAGCCCTTATTTTCTCAGAGCCTCCACTCATGACATCGGCTTTCTTTTTCCCCACTGATGCAAAGACAAATATTTCCCAGCAGAAAGTCATCCTGATCTGGAGAGACCCATTTCCTGCGTTCAGTAAATAAAGTCAGTTTCATTAGGGGAGGCTCTGGGAAAATAAGGGGATGCAGACTAGCAGAAGATGAACATTTAGCTACTTGTTTCTCAATTAATTGATTTATTACCAAAGAGAGAGAAGTGGAAACATGAGAATAGGGACCATGACTAGAATGTGGTTGAGGGAATGGTTTCTATCTTATTCCCTGGCAGAGAACTAAGGGATAAGAATGAGAAAGCTGGCTGGGTGCAGTGGCTTACACCTGTAATCCCAGCACTTTGGGAGGCCGAGGCAGGAAGATCACAAGGTCAGGAGTTCAAGACCAGCCTGACCAACATGGTGAAACCCCTGTCTCTACTAAAAATACAAAAACTAGCTGGGTGTGCTGGCATGCGCCTGTAATCCCAGCTACTAGGGAGGCTGAGGTGGGAGAATCGCTTGAACCTGGGAGGTGGAGCTTGCAGTGAGCCGAGATCGCGCCACTGCACTCCAGCCTGGGCAACAAAGCCGGACTGTCTCAAAAAAAAAAAAAAAAAAAAAAAAAAAAGAAAGAGAGAAAACCCAGCAGTGAGAGGTAGTTGTGAGAACACACTAAAGAGGAAAGATAATCCAGGGCTGGGAGTGGTGGCTCATGCCTGTAATTCCAGCACTTTGGGAGGCTGAGGCTGGCAGATCACAAGGTCAGGAGTTCGAGACCAGCCTGACCAACATGGTGAAACCCTGTGTCTACTAAAAATGCAAAAATTAGCTGGGTGTGGTGGTGGGTGCCTGTAATCCCAGCTACTCAGGAGGCTGAGGTGGGAGAATCGCTTGAACCCAGGAGACGGAGGTTGCAGTGAGCTGAGATTGCACCACTGCACTCCAGCATAGGCAACAAAGCCAGACTCTGCCAAAAACAAAAACAAAAACAAAAACAAAAACAAAAACAAAAAACAAGAAAGCTCAGTGAGAGGTGGTTGTGAGAACACACTAAAGAGGAAAGATCATTCAGGGCTGGGAGTGGTGACTCACGCCTGTAATCCCAGCACTTTGGGGGGCCACAGGCGGGTGGATTACCTGAGGGCAGGAGTTCAAGACCAGTCTGGCCAACATGGTGAAACCTCGTCTCTACTAAAAATACAAAAACTAGCTGGGTGTGATGGCGGGTGCCTGTAATCCCAGCTACTCGAGAGGCTGAGTCAGGAGAATCTCTTGAACCCAGGAGGCAGAGGTTGCAGTGAGCTGGGATCGTGCCACTGTACTCTAGCCTGGGTAACAGAGCAAGGCTCTGTCTCAAAAAAATAAAAATTAGAAAGAAAAAAGGAAAAGGAGAAGAGGAAGGAGACAGAAAGGAGAGAAACATCCCTGAGGTGGAACATTACATGCAACATGGAGTAGGCAGGGAATCCGATAGAGCACTGAAACTCTCGCTGGGTACGGTGGCTAACATCTGTACTCCCAGCACTTTGGGTGGCCGAGGTGGATGGATCACCTGAGGTCAGGAGTTTAAGACCAGCCTGACCAACATGGTGAAACCCCATCTCTACTAAAAATACAAAAGGCTGGGTGTGGTGGCTCACGCCTGTAATCCCAACACTTTGGCAGTCTGATACAGGCGGATCACATGAGATCAGGAGTTTGAGACCAGCCTGGCCAAGATGGCAAAACCTCATCTCTACTAAAAATACAAACATTACCTGGCTGTGGTGGCAGTCGCCTGTAATCCCAGCTATGCAGGAGGCTGAGGCAGGAGAATCGCTTGAACCTGAGAGGTGGAGGTTGCAGTGAGTCAAGATCGTGCCATTGCACTCCAGCCTGGCCAATAGGAGCAAAACTCCATGTGAAAATAAAATAAAATAAAATAAAATATAATAAAATAAAATAATAAATCAAAAAAGGACTGGACATCTCCTGTGGGTTGTCAGTGAATGGAACTAAGCAAGCCACCGCTCTTTCCCTTTTGTCCCGCAAGTGTCTTTCTTGGCCTCCAGGAAGTGAGTTCCATCATGTCAGACCCTATGTTTGTTCCTGCTGGGTTCACTGAGGCTCCTCCCTTTCCACCTGTGGCTCCCCATGGGTTCCCAGTCCCCAGCCAGTGTTGTGAATCGAGCCAGGAAGACCAGCCCTATCACACCCCTCCTGATGGAATTCCCACAGTGTCATCCTGGAGAACAGGGGCTGGGGGCTGGGGTAGGATCAGAGACCTTTTCATGTGGGCCAGGCCCCTCCCTCCACAGGAGCTCTGACACGAAGCTCATCACCATTCATTTCACCCTGACGATATTCTTCCTGCCCAGACACCCCCGTTCTCCCTATGTCATCATGGGCACCTCAGTGAAATCCATGGTTGAGGGTCTCTGTCACTTACTCTGCCCTCTTCTTGGAAAATTTCCTTGGATCCTTCCAGAGCCCTTCCTGAGTGTGCTGCAGGGTCTCTGCCACATGACACACTCTCAGGAACCCTCATCCTCCCCTTAATCTACTGCGCCCACATAGCCAGGTGCAGGCTCCGTTTCTTCATCTTCCCTTCCCCACAGGCCCCGATGGAGAGTGGATTAGACTCGCTCCTGAGTAGGGACTCAGGTCACTCTGACCCCTTCCTCCCTGTGGACGAGGCCTCTGTCCCAGAGCTTTGGAGGCTGAAGGGCCTTGTGGATTCCCGCACTGGCCACAGTCTCCGATGCAGATGGGGAACTGGGGACCTGGGAGGGGTTGCCTAGCCCAAGGCCACATAGCTGGGCGGTGGCACAGCCTTCACTCACACAGGGACATTCCATCTTCCCAGGGACTTCACACTGGAGGCTAAGAGCCCCACTTTGCACACCACATTCAGGGGTAGATTCTGTGTGTGACTAACAAGTTCTCTTAGGGTTCCGAGGTAACAGGACAGCAAATGGATGAGTGAGAGTTTCCCTCACCCCACTGAAGTAGGACCATTCTCTGTGGAGGGTTGGTCCCCTGACTTCCTCTACTCTGTCATCTCCCTAGTGACTGATAGGGGTCCTGGGGTCTCTTCCCTGGAATCCCATGAGGGACAATTCCTTTCCTGAAGGGAAGGTATAGAGAGGACTAGCAGGTGCCTGGTGATGGAAAGTCCCCATAATCAAGAGACATTGCCTCCCCCCCCCGGCATGATAAATATCTGGGTTTCCAAATGGGAAATCTGTCTGTGATGAGAGCTCAGGAGGGGCTTCTGGAAGATGGAAAAGGGCTAGAGGCTGAGGCCACTGCTTATCTCCCCACACTGTATCTGGCTTCACCTCCTGTGTTTGTCCTGACCTCTTCCTTCACTCACCTGGATAAGTAGGACCCCAAAGTGGGCCTCCAGACAGGAAGCAGTGGAGAGTGTGGAGCTGCCCTGTCTACCACCCTACACCCTGACACCACTGTCATACTCAACCTCTCTTTTCCTCTTTGTGTTTCTCATTGCTTCATTTTGTCTGGAATCCCTAAGATTCCCATGTCTCCAGCAGGCTGTCCCTCAGACGTGGCTATATGATTTAGTGTTTCACAGGGCATGCAGCAGGCATGGGCTACCCCCAGTAACAGTGGTCATCTAGGGCTGATCACTCACAGGCAGAGCCATCGACAGAGAGCTGCAGCATCTAGAGGTCCCATCACCAGCCCCAAGACCCAGAGAGAAGTTGGCCTGAATGCCCCACTCTGTCTCTGCACCCCAGTGAGCCAGTGTCCAGGGGCCTTACCTTCCTCGTTAGAAGGCACAGGTCAAATGAGCTTCCAGAGCTGCAGAGCAAAGTCACATTCTCTCCATCATTACTTACTGCAGGGCACAGTTGAGCTGAGAAGGAAGGTCTCTTGTAGACGCCTGGGGAAAAAAATAGTCCTTGACTGTCGAGCACAAGCCTTACCCAGCCTATCCTCAGGGCATGAAAAAGGCATTCTCTCCACCTGTTCTGGGGAGCACACTCTGTTACCCACTCGTGCCTCTCTCCATCTCAGTTCTAGCTCTACAAGCTGGCTCATCATGTGTGTGTTTTCCTGTCTGTCTTTGCTCAGCTTTTCCTTGAATCTCTTGCTTTTTGCCGGTGCGTGTGTGGCTTTCTGCCCTTAGAACCATATGAGATTTAGGGTTCTCCTGGCACATAGAACTGTTTACTTTGAGGACCCTCAGAAAACATAGCCCTGGGCTAAGGCTCCCTGTCCTGGAACTAGAAGGTTATGGGTGTCACCATTTCCCAACAGCATGTCTGAAAGTGCCAGAATCTTCAAAGAGTCTGCAACATGTTTGTAGGATCTTTATAGGGTCTGATATTGCAGGGACCAACCAAAGTGCCCTCACACCCCAAGACGCTGGAAGTGACCCCTTGCTGAAAGTGGTTGGAAGTTTCACATAGAAGTTTGAGTTAAGCCACATTGCTGAGCAATGCCTCAGCATCCCAGTCTTCATCCAGACCTTCCAGGAGCCTGGCTGGAGGGGGTGTCTCTGGTGTGTCACTGAGCCTTATAGCAGAGGAAGGGGGCTATGGTGGAAACTACCTCCAAGATACCACTCAGTCCTAAGCTGGGGAACAAGCTGAGCTTGGATTCTGGTAGTGAATGAACCGGGAAACATTTATTTGAAGGGTTCTAAGAGTAGCATCGTGTGGGTGCGTTAATTGTATGTGAAGGGGAAGATCCTGAGAAAACAAGAGCTGCTCCACTCTGTGCCTGGGTTTACCAGAGGGACCGATGAGGTCCTCACAAGACCCAGGAATCCCACCGGGGGAAGGAGGCTTAGGGAGATGTGTTTAAGACTGTTAAGTGAGTCACAGACAGAAGCAGATCAAGCCATCCCACCACCTAGGTTTGTGGTTTTGTTTCTCCTAAACTTCCTTTCTGTAAGTAGCAGAACCTTCTCATCACCATCCTTCAAAACCTCTGCATTGTTTGAGCTCCTTGTATTTTCTGGAGATTAATCTCTTGCTTGCAAATATTCTTTCCCATTCTGTAGGTGGTCTCTTCACTCTGCTGTTTGTTTCCTTGATTGTGCAGAAGGTTTGCAGTTTGCTATGATCTCATTTGCCTATTTTTGCTTTTGCTGCCTGAGCTTTTGAGGGTTTTTTTTTTTTGTTTTTTTTTTTGAGACGGAGTCTCGCTCTGTCACCCAGGCTGGAGTTCAGTGGCATGATCTCAGCTCATTGCAACCTCCGCCTCCCGGGTTCAAGTGATTCTCCTGCCTCAGCCTCCCTAGTAGCTAGGACTACAGGCGAGTGCCACCACACCCGGCTAATTTTTGTATTTTTAGTAGAGGCAGGGTTTCACCACGTTTGGCCAGGCTGGTCTCAAACTCCTGACTTCAAGTGATCCACCCACCTTGGCCTCCCAAAGTGCTGGGATTACAGGCGTGAGCCACTGCGCCCGGCGTTGTATTGGATTTTTAATTCAGCCCTATTTTCTCCGACATTTGATATTGGCATTTTTGTCTTTTTTGGATATGCTAGGATCATGGTGTCATAATTTAATTTTAATTTTTATTTTTATTTTAAGTTCCGGGGTACATGTGCAGAATGTGTGGGCTTATTGCATAGGTCAATGTGCGCCATGGTGGTTTCCTGCACCTGTCAACCCATCACCTAGGTATTAAGCCCAGCATACATTAGCTATTTTTCCTAATGCTCTCCCTACCCCTACCCCACCCCCCCCCCGACAGGCCCCAGTGTGTGTTGTTCCCCTCCCTGTGTTCACGCATTCTCATTGTTCAGCACCC
Organism: Homo sapiens; assembly: GCF_000001405.40. Lineage (NCBI taxonomy): Eukaryota > Metazoa > Chordata > Mammalia > Primates > Hominidae > Homo > Homo sapiens. The sequence continues at coordinate 205,818 of NT_187641.1, forward strand.
ACTTGTAAGTGAGAACATGCAGCGTTTGATTTCCTGTTCCTGTGTTAGTTTCCTGAGGATAATGGTTTCCAGCTCCATCCATGTCCCTGCAAAGGACATGATCTTGTTTCTTTTTATGGCTTCATAGTATTCCGTGGTGTATATGTCTCACATTTTCTTTATCCAGTCTATCATTGATGGGCATTTGGGTTGATTCTATGTCTTTGCTATTGTGAATAGTGCTGCGATGAACACATGTGTGCATGTATCTTTGCAATAGAATGATTTATATTCCTTTGGGTATACGCGCAGTAATGGGACTGCTTTTACCTGTGCCAAAATACTGAAGTAGAAATGATTATTCACTCTAAAATGGAAGGTAATAAGATGTATACGTGAGCTATCAGATGCCTGGTGCTTATGAGTGAAGACAAGTCTGTCCAACGCTTCCCAACCCTGCATTCAGGGATGTCTCGTTGGCATCTTGATTATGGCCATGAAAAAAGAATTTACGTCAAGGAAATTGGTAAATGCCACTAATCATAGCATTTCAAAAAATGTCTTTTTCAGAATTAGCATACCATTGGGTCGTGACTTCAAATGCCAGTGTGTTGATTCCAGGTGGTGATATTTCAGGAGAAACTACACAGATAGCATCTGATAAGGAGGGAAGAGCTCATAGGGTCCACACAGGAGGTGAGGGCATCACGGTGCATTTATCTTTTCCTGGTCGGACTCTGATCTTCTCCCGTTGAATTAGTTCCTAAACCAGGTGCGGAACTCTGAACTGAAGACATGAAGACCCAGTAAAGTACACCAGGAAGTGTGGCAATGAGAAATGAAGAGGACTGTGTGACACGCCATGGACCAGAGCATGCAGGTGTGCAGAGGTGTGGACCCAACGCTGCCATGTGGGATGGAGCCTCATGTCTAAGTGTGGGAAAAGAGGCAGATCCAACCAAGGAAAGTCAACATTAATGGAGAGGAAAGGTATCACATTTTAATGGTTCTCCATGGATCACCCCAGAAAATGTCCCTGCACTCGGACATTGATTCCTTCCTCTGGAAATGACCAGCAGACAGTCCAGATAGCATCGGCCCTAGATTTTCTTCCAGAACCTCCTGGGATCATCAGATCTGTTCCTGAGGCTTCACGACTCTATAAAGTACATTATCCTCTCTGCTGTTCACCTCCCGGCTGCATCTTGGGAAGCTTCTCTGGCTGTGCCAAGCCTCAAATGACAGAATCCCGAGGACCACCAGGATCAAGCCAGCCACGCCCATGTGGATGAGATTCTCCACTGCGTAATCCTGAAGGTGTGAGGCTGGGGATGGTGGACAAAGAGGTCACAGAGGTCAGGGTGGATCAGATTGTCCACCCAGGGCACCCACCTCCCCTTCACAGGACCCAACCCTCAGTGCCAGCCCCATCACTGAGAGTATCTCCTCACATACCAGTCTCAGAGTCAGACTTGTTTTGTGATGGGCTGAGGGTATCAGCTGCTCCAGAGAATCAAAACAGAGAAAAAGAGACCTGAGCCCAGCCTCTCACCTGGGCTCTGCAATTTTTTTTTTATTACTTAATGTCTCATGATGTGACTTTTACAGAATTTCTAAAAAAAAAAAAAAAAAACCTCTTCCTCCGCTAGCAGGATTCCCTCTAGTCTCCTCATTGAACGATTTCAGTTTTCCTGTGTTCTATGGATTTAAACATTGCTCCTGAGTCATCTGGGAGAGAGTTTTCCTGCATCCTGAGAGCTCAGGATCTGCAAGGAAAGTGGTCCCCAGTACAGAGGTCACTAAGGCCTGTGTGCTCTCTGTGCAGCCTGGGACACAGGAGAACATGAGCCAACTCCCCCGGAGATGAGAGTTTCACGGATCCACCAGCTGAGGACCCAGGCTCCGTGGATGAGGGTTAGTCATCAGGGGAGCCTCAATGTCAGAAGCACAAAGGGGTGAAATTCTGGGGCTGCCTCCCCTTCATGCCCTCAGCCACTTCACCTGGAGTTTCATTGTCCATTTAATCTCTAGGTAGCTAATTATTCGTATAGGCAGCAACAGGTAGAATGTGATACACACACAGAAAAACACAAACACAAATATATATCTGTTTTATATATATAGTGGGCCTTAAAAACTATCTCTGCCTTCTTGAAGTGTGGGTTCACCTGGAGACAAACAGCAAACATATAGAAACACAGCAGTGGAAATTTACTAGTCGTAGCAATGGTTTTAGATATATTGGTAGAGACCTATATTTATGTGTGAATATATATTATTTGTATAGATATACGGATAACTAGGTTTCAATGTCACGTAAGATGTTGGTGTGACCACACACGCGCACACACACACACACACGTATATGCAGAGAGTGGAAGAGAGAGAGAAGGAATTCAGCCGCATGGTGTAGGTTGGTTAATTACTTGACATAAATGAGAAGCAGGCAGGACTGGGCTGAGCTGTGTCGTCAGTGAAGGTCACACTTGGAGGTGACATTGAAGCTGATTCCTCAATAGGAAAAAGGGCCAGGAAGGAGGCGTGTGGAGACCCAGACAGGGAGCAACAGAGGCTCCAGAAAGAGCAGGTCCCAGAAAGGTCTCAGCCTGTTCTTCAGAAAGGAATGGCCGCTTGTCTACAGGGTGGAGGAGGAGGCAGAGGAGGAGGGGAGATGAGCTTCGGGGCCTTGGTGGATTGAGAATAGGCCAGGATGAACCGGCCAGGAAAGAGCGGCCCCAATATCTCTCTCTCTGTCTCTCTGTCTCTGTCTCTGCCTCTCTCTCCCTCCCTCTGAGGTCTGGAAAGTGCTGTAGGGTTTCAAGGAGTGGTACCAGTCATTTGACTTTTTCTGAAAAGATAAGCCCTACCCCCTCCATAGCAAATGTCCAGAACGAAGGAAGTCCACATTTCTACCTGAAGTTTACAAAACCTCAGGGAGCACGTGAGATCAGGGCTATTACGAAACCGGGTGAGAATAAAAATAGGTGATGCTGCAAATCTACTTTCACCAGCTTGGACAAAAAGGCCAATATGAGATTTTAAAAACCCAAATAAAAAATGTCAACGGCGCAGAAGAGGAGCGGTGCACATTCCCTGAGCTGCTGCGGGAGCACGTGCAAGTCCCTGTGAGGCTCAGGTGTGCGCTGAGTGCTGGGGAGGCTGCAGGGGAAAGCAGGAAGTGGGGCGGGGTGGGGGGGGGTCGGGGGTGGATGCAGGTGGCACCGGCAGCCTGGATGCTTCTCTCTCCAGGAGGGCGTCTGTTGGGGACTGGGACACAGAGGCTCTGATTCTGAGGTGGAGACACCAGGATGGGAGCAGGTGGGGCCTCCGTCTTCCACCCTCAGTCTAATCTCAACTCCTTTGAGGTTCACCCCCCGTCTCCTCCCAGCCCTCCCTGCACTTTACTCTACTGAGACTTCAGGGGTGGGAGCCAGGGGTGGGAGGTCCCTGTCTATTTCCATCTTCCCATGGGCTGGACCCTCCCCTGCGGACCCTCTCCCTTCACTCCCCTCTTTCCTTAGTGTCCAGAGCTCTGCTGGGGGCAGGGCCTGAGCTGAGCCTTTGAGCTCAGAGAGGACAGGGTCAGCGCCCTCACCTGAGACCACGAGCTCCACGGGGCCACTGGGGTGAGACAGCAGGTAGGGGTCGGAGCTGAGTGAGCCGTAGCACCTGTAGGTCCCCGTGTGGGCTGAGGTCACAGGACTCATGGGGAATTC